>NC_000012.12:71551037-71702552 GCF_000001405.40 Homo sapiens | reverse complement strand
CTTGAGGTCAGGAGTTCGAGACCAGCCTAGCCAACGTGGCGAAACCCTGTCTCTACTGAAAATACAAAAATTAGCCGGGCGTGATGGTGCACGCCTGTGATCCCAGCTACTTGGGAGGCTGAGGCATGAGAATCACGTGAACCCAGGAGGCGGAGCTGAGATCATGCCACTGTGCTGGAGTCCAGCCTGGGCCACAGTGTGAGACTCTGTCTCAAAAAACAAACACATAAACAAAAAAAGCAAACATGCCCTGGTGCTTCCAATGTATACCCAAAGTTTAACCCAATTGTTGCAACCCCCTGATCTAACTGGCTTAAAGGTTAAGGGTGTGATTGTTTTTTCTTCTGTCCTGAAGTAAGTCAGTTCTAGATCATCACCATAGTAGGGCCACCAATAAAGAATTCTAAGCATTATCCACTCTGGTGGTGGTGTATTCATAAATCCTTCCCCAGTTTCTTTAAAAAAGCAAAAGGGGCAGGAGGAAGAAGGTACAGAAATCACATGAGAAACATTTAAAAATACTTTTAGTAAAATACTCTGTACCCTGTCAAAACTCCTTTGGCACACAGTAAATCATAGTGAAGAACAAACATAGCAGAATTGCCTTAGTTGAGGCTACAGTGTAAGAGAGAATACAACTTAGAAGGTAATAATAGAAAAATCATAGCATTTTCCAGCAATTGATATGACAGTAAATTTATAAAGAAATACAATAATTTCCCAGTGACTCTTAACTGTTCAGGATGCCAGTGCTAAACCAGGTTGCCATACATAATTCAAAGAAAGCTAGAAAACACATTCCACATATTAAATTGAAGATAATTTTTGTTCAGAGAGCAACTGAAACATATAGTAAGTTATATATTTTTTAGATATAAGATAAAATTCTTTTGCTTTTAGTTAAAATGATTTTTTTCATACATTCTAATGGACATATGAAAAAGATATTTACTTTTTTTCATCACTAACCCTGAGGAAGGAAGAACAAATGTGGAGTAGGCCACAAAACTCACTAGGAACCAATCTCCACACTTTTCCCAATTGTGAATAGCAATTAATGGGAGAAGTTCAGGATACTACACTTGTTTAGGCTCCCATACACATCAGCTTAAACTATTTAAAATAGATACAACATTTGGGCAACTAGCACAGTGGCATTTCTCTGCTTCAACTGAGAACTATTTTAAATATCATCACTTTTATTTCCTACACTGGTTTAAACAAACAAAACAAAATAAGACAAAACTTGACATTGATTATGTAAGAACTTTCAGTTCAATATATAGTAATATGTAGGGACAATATAGCTTCATTGCTCAAGACTTCCATTCAGCAGGAAAAAAATGCATAAGTTCTAGGAATTCTTCTCTTTCACTAGAAAGACGCTAGCTATTACAGGGGAGTTGATGAGAGGAAAATGTGAAATCCCATCTCAATGGAATACAGGAGGAACTGGCATTTCCGCTTTGCCATTACAGTTATTATTCTTAGGATGAAAGTTGGAATTGCAAATTTAGCTGGACTCACCAGTTTCAACCTGTGGAAATGAAATAAAGTTCACCCCCTGGGCCAAAAACCCCAAGCAGCAGTTGGGAGCAAGAGGGCAATAAGAACAGAAGAAAACAGATTCACTGCGTTGTTATCAAGAATGGGTTTCCCTGCTATGTGCCTTGCCTTATTTGTTGGGCTGTTGACCACCATGCCAGTGCTTTCATCCAACCCTGGAATGGAAAAAGAAGCAAGTGAGATAGAAAACCCAAATGACTTCATTTTTTTTCTTTTCTTTCTTTTTTTTTTTTTTTATTATACTTTAAGTTCTAGGGTACATGTACTTGATTTTAAAAAAAGAACAAAATAGGCTTTTTCCTCCAAAGGAGACAATCTTTGAAAGGTTCTAAGTGACTTGCTAAATGACTTTAATGGATCATTTATATGATGAGAGACATGGGACCCTTGATTACAAATGGCCTCTTTGAATAAATGGGTTCTCAGTAATTTTCTGTCAATACCTCTGGAATTGCTTCAGAAGTGGAAGAGAGAACATGAAAAGCAGAGAGGGCATGAAACTGGCAGGTTGGGCCTGCCTTCCCAGTGGTTCCCCTCCAAGACTGATCTATGACGTCCTTGGGAGTAGGGATCATGTCTGTGGCCACAGTACTGTAAACGCAGGGTTGAGCATGGGGCTGGCACAAAGGAGGCACACAAAGATTTACAAAATCTCCCCTACTGCATGCATTTCTTTTCAACCCACTCAATGCAATCAGAAACTTCCCCAGTTAGAACCCAATTTAGAATAAAACCTACACTCTTTAAAAAACATGTTTACTGTCTGTGTGTGCGTGTAGAGTTATTGACCCTTTAGTGAGAATTAAGATCAGATTGCTTCGTCCTTAAAATCTAAATGAGACTAACAAAATGGAGAACAAATATTCTGACTGATGGAGAGGGGGAGGAAGGGCACATAGATTTTCTGAGGCATGAAGAGTGCTGGGAGGACTATACTGAGAGAACCCTTCTCTAGCCTTCCAACCTCTTCCTGATGTCAATCAAAGGAGAAACATGGTTGATGAGAGTGTGGAGCAAATACACACCTAACAGAATATGTGAGTACACTGATAGGATGGGAGAGCCTTAGAAACAAAGCACAGAAAATTTTGAGAAAAATATCTACCACTCTACCATATATCTTTTTTCTTTTTTTTTGAGATGGAGTCTTGCTCTGTTGCCCAGGCTATAGTGCAGTGGCATGATCTCGGCTCACTGCAATCTCCGCCTCCCAGGTTCATGCAATTCTCCTGCCTCAGCCTCCCAAGTAGCTGGGATTATAGGCAGGCGCCACTACACCAGATAATTTTTGTATTTTTAGTAGAGATGGGGTTTCACCATGTTGGCCAGGCTAGTCTCGAACTCCTGACCTCCAGTGATCTGCCCCCCTTGGCCTCCCAAAGTGCTGGGATTATAGATGTGAGCCACCGTGCCCAGACATCGACCATATATCTTAATGAAGCAAAAAACTCAGGGGCAAGAATAGCAAGCATGATACCACAGTAAGAAAGTAGGTCGTGTGTATAGTCAGATTTGTACAATTACTCCTCAAATGGAATAGGAAAATGAATGGAAGGAATTGTATTAAAATGATCTGATCCCAAACGTCTTGCTTTTCTGGGATTAGGTAATGGCTCACACAAAAACGTCTGTTCTCTGCACTATTGTATCTTCCCCACATGGCTTCTAATCATTGCTGCGCGGGACTAATTCTCTTTCAATTAATTTAATACAAAAGAATAAGAAAACCAAAATTGTGAAAGAGACTTTGCCCTATCATTTCTAGTCCCTCAACACCCTGTGTCTTTGGATTTGTTTTCATTGTTAACATTTTTTTCTTTCTTTTCCCTATTTCTTTAACATACCAATAAGTTGCAAGAATGAAGGAATGTTCTTACCAGTATACTGCATTGTAGCCCCTAAGTATGAGTCCACAATTGATCCTAGTAATCCAGCTAAACCACCAAATGCAATAATTGGCCACTGCGGGGCAGAAATGTCTAAATCATTCACAAAAATCAGCTGTGTGAGGAAGTATGCAATGCCCACAAAGGTACCACCAAGGAGACTGGAGACAAGGCCCACCACTGTAACTCCTCCATTGGTACCTGAAGAAGAAACATGCAGAAAATCATCCGGTTAATAATCAGCAAACACATAAAGGCAAGGACAGCAAGGTACCTATCTAATCAAGACTAATTTAAAGAAAGCATTCTCTTTAATGCAATCTAAAGACTGTAGCTTTTTAGAAAACAGTATTTTCTCCTCGGTAACTCTTGACATTTTAAGCAATGAAGCAGAATGGTTCAATGAAGCCAGACTGCCTGGTTTCAATCTTGGTTCTGCTTCTCTCTCTCTCTCTCTCTCTCTCTCTCTCTCTCTCTCTCTCTCTCTCTCTCTTTTCAGAGACAAGGTTTTGCTCTATCAACCAGGCTAGAGTACAATGGTGTGATCATAGCCTACTGCAGCCTCCAACTCCAGGCTCAAGTGATCCTCCCATCTCAGCCTCTCTAGTAGTTGGGATGACAGGCATGAGCCACCTTGCCAGGCCCAATTCTGCTACTCTTAAGCCATGTGACTGTAGTTAATTTATCTAACTTCTTTGTGCTTTAGTTTCTTTATAAGATATAAATAATAAAAGAACCAATTTATATGATTATTAGGAGTACTAAGTGGCAATCCGTGTAAAGCAGTTAGAATAGTGCTCTGTAGTAGGTATCTAAAATATGCTAGCTGTTACAATGATGATGAAGAAGAGGAGAAAAAAAAGGAGGAGAAGGTGATGATGGGGGATAGGATGGGTAGAAAGAAAAGAAGGGGACGAAGAGGAAGAGAAGCATCAGAGGACAAAAAGAAGCAGTATAGGTTGAGTATTCTCTTTACTTGAATTGCTTGAGACCAGAAGTGTTTTGGATTTCAAATTTTTTCAGAGTTTGGAATATTTGCATTATATAGACTTAACAGTTGAACATCCCGAATCTGAAAATCGTAAATCTGAAATGTTCCAATGAACATTTCCTGTGAGCATCATGTCAGTGTTCAAAAAGTTTGAGATTTTGGAGCATTTTGGATTTTGGATTTTCAGATTTGAGATGCTCAACCTATGTAGTTGTTGATAATGTTGATAATGGAGAATTGAGATATATCTTAAAGCACTGATATCCTAACAGGCCCTCAATAAATATTCTATTGTTCCCTCTCTTTTCCTTCCCTACTGATATGTTTGCAAATCAATCTCTATGTTCCTGTATTGCTTATCTAGGTCTTGCTAACATTTCCTGCAAATATTATTTATTATTACCAATTTAATAGTCGACAGAAATTTTCCAATTATTATTTAAAGAGACTAAATAAAGTTCTTAAAAGGCTCTAAAATACATTACATCAAGAGGTTTTTTGGTTTTTTTAAAGAATCTCAAATCAAGACTCACCAACTGTGTCTACCAATGGGTCAAAAAGAAGAAAAAACTCACCAACTGGAACTTTCTCCCAGGTTGTTATCAGTCTTGGAGAACTTTTACTCAGAACTGGGCCAACTTCTGAAGCCCATGTGTCTCCAGCAGAGCAGGCCAGTGCAGCCAAGAGAGACAAACACATCCAGGAAGCGGAGTACTGCTTGGAAAAATCGACTGGGATTTCCCCGGGGCCATTTTCTATCATGTACAGCAGGGCCAGTTCTGTGGGTACAGCTCCATTACAGAACACCTGAACCCAATTCCTTTGCCCACCTGGAAACAAACAGATGAAAAGGACAAACAAATGATTCCTCCTTAGAAGAAAAACCATGCAGTTATAGGTGTTTATGTTTTAAAGTTTAAGAAAAGAAAAACAACAAAAAAATTTAAAAACAGTAAAAGTGTTATGGTACATTTGCCCAGATTTTATACTGTTATTAACAAATCTGGAAAAATCATGATAGACTCTAGTGCTTCTAAAATTCTGCTGTCATTTCCCATTGTTGTGAAATAAATTATAAACTCAATTTGGCTACTAAAGGAATTCTCATATAAAATTGATGTGTTTTGACAGTTTAAACAACATTCTGATTAAAAGCTTATGTTGGCTGGGCGCAGTGGCTCACGCTTGTAATCCCAGCACTTTGGGAGGCCGAGGCAGGCGGATCACGAGGTCAGGAGATTGCGACCATCCTGGCTAATACGGTGAAACCCCGTCTCTACTAAAAATACAAAAAAATTAGCCAGGCATGGTTGCAGGCGCCTGTAGTCCCAGCTACTCAGGAAGCTGAGCCAGGAGAATGGTGTGAACCCGGGAGGCGGAGCTTACAGCGAGCCGAGATTGCGCCAGTGCACTCCAGCCTGGGCAACAGAGCAAGACTCCGT
Source organism: Homo sapiens (assembly GCF_000001405.40). Lineage (NCBI taxonomy): Eukaryota > Metazoa > Chordata > Mammalia > Primates > Hominidae > Homo > Homo sapiens. Next base: position 71,696,667 of record NC_000012.12, on the reverse strand, counting down.
CTCAAAAAAAAAAACAAAAACAAAAACAAAAAAAAACCTTATGTTAGGATTAAATGAAGTTTACTATTTTGAATGATATCAAACATAATTTTACCTTCCTTATATTCTGAATCTAGACGCTTCTTCACTTCTCCCTTCCATTTAGTGAGTTTCGAAGAAGACAAGAAAAACATCAGCAAAGAGGTAAAAAAGCTGAAATTTGCAATGGTTAGGATAAATCCAACGACTAGCCCTGAAAGAAACATATATAAACACAGAATTATATTCAATTCATACATCAATGCTGTGAAAAAAGAATGGATTTTTTCCATTATTTTTATATTATAACCTGAAATGTACATTTCTAGCAATTTGCATTTTACCAATTAAATTCTTAGCAAGCAGTAAACTGAATGCCATTTTGAGTACACATTTTTTACCATATTTTAATCTCCTTTCAAGCAATGCCATATGAATGTAAGATAATATTTTAGATAATATTTTTAAAATTATCTTAATTTAAAAAAATTAGAAATAGAGATGGGGTCTCACTATATTGCCCAGGCTGGTCTCAAACTCCTGGGCTCAAGCAATCTGCCCAGCATTGGCCTCCTAAAGTGCTGGGATTGCAGGAGTGAGCCACAGCACCTGGCCTTCTTTTTCTATAATAACCCTTTCCATTGCTTAGCTCAAAGTTCAGATATCATAACCAATGAGATAGTTACTCATTGACCCTTCCAGAGATACTCAATTACTGGTATTTAACTTTGGTACCTTTTAATCGAGAGTACAGAAACAGGGTAACTTGATATAAAGTATTAATAATAACAAAGTGCTTCAGCTCTGGAGTTGAACAGTCTAGAGTTCAAACTGTGGCTCCTTCACTTACCTCTTCAAGATTAGGATAAGTTACCTAACCTCCTTAAGTCTCAATTTTGCATTGGTGAAATGAGAATAATCAGAATTCTGACTTTACCGGCTTGCTGTAAAAAGTCAGGGATAATTTTTGTAATATGCTTATTATATTATCCAGGATGTAAGAGGTCCTTAATAAGTGTTACCTAATATCATGGATACTAATAACAGCAACAGTTCCAGTGGCAAAAGCTCAACAATAATAATGATAAATATTACAATATTGTTATCCAACCTTTAAGTTTTTTCAACTGATTTTTAAAACATTACAAAAGTTGTATGCAACTACTGAAGGGGAAAGTCAAAACACATGGAAGTATACAAACTGAAAGTCAAAGTGTCTCCCCTCCTCCTCTTCATGAATATTCACTGTTAACAATTTGTTCCACCGTCTCTAAACAAACCCAAGGTAGAAGAGCCCTACACAACCTACACTGAGATGTTACAAATGGCATCTATATCCTTTTTACTTCAGCCACCTTAAAATACCACATGAAGCAATTAATGTTCATGTTGGTGACAGCTTCAGATTGAGGAAATGAACAAGACAAGCTTTGAGGGAATGGTTTCTTTCATGCAGTGTAAAGATCGCTTGGAACTTTTGGCAACTCCTACCTATGTCTACATTTTAGATTAGTAACTGCTATCTCCTGTTCATACCTTTTCTACCTCTCCATCCTGCAGATCTCTAAATATCATTGATAAGGGGTTCATATATATGACAATAGGGCACTCCCAAATAATTTGAAGACTTGAGGACTATGGTTGCCTTGTGAGCCTAAAACAGGTAAATTCTGTACCTAACAGATAGCATTGGGGGAGTAAAATGACACTGTCTACAAATTTCTGACAATGGGAGTAGAGTTATACCCCAAATTCCAACCAGGGTGACCTGGGTAATCTCCAGGAGGCATAAAAGAGAAAGGCAGGACTGGAATTTCATAGTAATTTAATAAACTCAAAGCTCACCTATTGCTTCATACATATTCTATAATAATTTACTTGGCTAGCCCAAAATGTAGAAAGTGAAGGCCAAAAGAACCAGAGGTTGGCAGACTTCTTGAACCATGTCCAAGGGAGGGGAACCTTTGATTTGTGGATTTGCATAACTGTTTCTCAGACTTTGTACTCACCAAAGCAGCCTTCTAATTATAATCTGACTTCTCAAGTGGCCTGACTACAAGAATAGGGCATGCCTGAACAGTGATGTTTGTGTTCTTCTGCCTGGTAGTTCTTCTATCTGATTAATGAAGTGGCATTCTGGCTCATATAGCAATCCTTTATGACAATGAGCAACACTCAACCAGTTTTCTAGGCTCTAATCAACTCTGGGTACATGACAGAGTGAGGCTTCTACTTCAGAAAGACTGAAACCAGACCCAAAGTATAGTGACCAAAAAGAGGTCAGGCCACCCTTGTGAAACCACACAGAGCACCACCAGTGGCCTTTCCTGACAACACCCCCTCTTGCTGTGCTCTTCCACAAACACTTTGCCACAAATCCCCCTCATGTGACCCTCTCCTTATTCTGGCAATGCTCGCTCTCTCTCCAAGAGACCAGAGCCCTCCACTTCAGTGTGCAGCTTAGAGACTGACTGTGACTGAACCCCTGCCTAATCCTCTTAACACTGAGGTATATGTTTCTGTCATGAATGGTTCTAAATACCCAGATCCTGAGGAAGTTCTGTAACTCTTACTTCTAAATCCTAGACACACTAAAGTCATGATGTAGCAAAGTAAAATTTCTTATAACTGTGTGTATTAGTCTGCTGTCACGCTGCTAATAAAAACAAACCTGAAACTGGGTAATTTATAAAGAAAAGAGGTTCAACTGGCTCACAGTTCCACATGGCTGGGGAGGCCTCACAATCATGGCCAAAGGCAAATGAGGAGCAAAGTCACATCTTACATAGCGGCAGGCAAGGGGGCTTGTGTAGGTGAACTCCCCTTTACAAAACCATCAGCTCTCGTGAGACTTATTCACTATCACGAGAACAGCACGGGAAAGACCTGTCCCATGATTCAATTACCTCCTACCAGGTCCCTCCCTTGACATGTGGGAATTATGGGAGCTACAATTCAAGATGAGATTTGTGTGGAGACATGGTCAAACTATATCACTGTGAATAGCAGTAGTGGAAGGAAAACAGTAATAATAACTAACATCTATAAAATATTTGTATGCCAAGTACTGTGCTAAGCATTTTACATGGATAACACTTCATGATAATTCATTGCTATAGATACCATTATTCCTTCACATTTTATAGACAGGACAAGTACAACACTGAGAGTTTAAGTGACTTGCAGTCATACTCTAGGATAATATTCCCAACTACTATGATATACTTTAAATCAGCATTAGATTTTTTTTTATCCTTAAGGAAACAAAAAGTTCCAAACAGTAAGAAAAGCTGGGTGTGGCGGCGCGTGCCTGTAGTCGCTACTACCCAGGAAGCTGAGGCAGGCGAACTGCTTGAGCCCAGGAATTCAAGGCTGCACTAAGCTATGGTTGCATCACTGCACTACAGCCTGGGTGATAGAGCGAGACCCTGCCTCTAAAAAAAAATTTTTTTTTTGGGACAGGGTCTCGCTCTGTCACCCAGGCTTGAGTGCAGCAGCATGATCTCAGCTCACTGCAGCCTCTGCCTCCTGGGTTCAAGCGGTTCTCCTGCCTCAGCCTCCCAAGTACCTGGGATTACAGGCACCTGTCACCATGCCTGGCTAATATTTGTATTTTTAGTAGAGACGAGGTTTCACCACGTTGCCTAGGCTGGTCTCAAACTCCTGGGCTCAAGTGATCTGCCTGCTTTGGCCTCCCTAAGTTTTGGGATTACAGGTGTGAGCCACCATACCTGGCCATAATTTTTTTTTTTACAAAAAAGAAGAAAAGATAAACAGTTCATAGAATGAAATAATTAGGAAAAAAGCAAAGGTTTTTAAAAATCAGACTACATCTATTCCTAATCATCTATTATGTATCTAGCACTATTCAAAGAAACATGGGACACAGAAGCATAAGATACTCTTTGTCCTCAAGGAGTTTATAATCTAGCAGATTTCCTTTATGCTCAAGCAGATCAAGTGGCATGTTATAGCACTAGGATAATTTTTAGAAACATGCATATTATATTTTTGCTACCTGACTTTAGAACTATCAGTTACTACTGAAAGTAAGTTAAGGACATGCTTCCATCTACTACTACATTTGATCATTTCCAACTCTAAGGGCTGGCAGCAAATAAATGACTTCATGAGATTTGAATCCTATTCAATAAGAATACTTCATTAAGCACTAAGAAGCCTAGAACCAGAAACTTTTTAAGTGAGAATACTTCATTTAATTTTATTCTGCAAGTGTTAGTTTCAGTTTTCTGCAGTTTTCATTGTTTTCTGCCCAGAACTGTCTCTTCATCCTTCAAACCTCTCTATATACTTCTCTATTAATGCAGATGATAATAATAATAATCAGCATATATAATGAGGTAGGAGAGAGGTTGAGGGGGAGAAGTAATGTGAGCAGAGGTACGGAGAAAGAAAGAAATGTTTGTGGCAATGCCAATTTAATAGTCATTCACGTATAAAAATATGGTTGAAACTACATAATCACTAACAATGAACATTTTTGTATAGTTTACAAAGATGTGTTGCCTCATATAATATCTTGTTTGAGATTTACCAATAAGTCCATAAGATATTACTATTGGAGGTATTTCATAAGAGATTAAGAAAGTGAGTCTCCTAGGAGTTAGGCAGCATGCCCAAGTTTGCACTGGTAACAGGTGGCAGTGTTAGGTTTCATATCTTTTAATTCTAATCAACATAGGAGAGGAGCAGATGTCCAAGGGCTACAAGGCAGCCCTTCTAGCAGCAGGAAAGAAACAACAGTAGAGATCGTAAAAGTCAGAGAAGCAGGACAATATACAGCACAGAAGCCCAAGGAAGACAGAATTTCAAGAAGGACTTGACCTTTTTTTCTATAAGAATAATAAATTCCAAGGCAATGATATCTAAGAGCTTTTTTTTTTTTTCTTTTTGACACAGGGTATCACTCTGTTGCCCAAGCTGACTGAAGTGGCACGATCAGCCTCCTGTGTAGTTGGGACTACAGGTGTGCACTACCACGCCAGGCTAATTTTTTTTTTTTTTTTTTTTTTTTTTTTTTTTTGTAGAGGTGAAGTCTCATTATGCTGTCCAGGCTGGTCTCAAACTCCTGGACTCGAGTGATCCTTCTGCCTTGGCTTCCCAAAGTGCTGGGATTACAGGTGTGAGCCACTGCGACCAGCCCAGAAAGAACTTTTTTTAGCAAAGCATAAGTCCATGTTATTATATTTAAGCAGAGATTGTTCAAATTATGTTATAAATGATTTAATACTACCAAAGTGCTAACAGCAGTGCCTGGTACATAGAAAGTGTGACATAAGCATTTGTTAAATAGATAAAATATAACCACTCCTAATACTTATTGATTATATGGTAAAATAAAATTCATATAAAAATATCAGTATGTCTAGTTAACTTTAATTCTCAATTACCCCACAAAAGGAAAAGAAATCTCACAATATAACTTAAACAGTATTTCTTAATTATGAAGAGAATTGGCATGATTTTGAAGAACTCTGCCTAATAATAATAGTTACAAGCACTGAATAAATGTTGGCTATGTGTCCAGGCAATGAGGTAAGGACTTTAAATTATCGCATTTAATTCTCTCTATGCCCTAAAAATGAAATAAGGGGGAGATCCAGGCCTTGTGGAGCCCAAAGTTTATATAATTTGGGGTTCCCTCTTTAAGAAAAAGAGTACAACAGTTTTGACCTTTGCAAAATTGACAAAACCATAGGACCACGAGAGCACATTGCTAGAGTTTATTCAATTTTATCTCTCACTTCTTTTCCTATCGTTACTATTTTCTAGTCAAATGAGCCCTATTATTCTTACTCTCAAATAAGCCTCTAAAATATCTGGACTTTTGCACTTGTTATTCTGTCAGCCTGGAACATGATTCTGTCAGATCTCATTGCTAGCTTCTTCAGATACCAGTGCAAAATGACCTCCGTAGAGAAAAGCACCTGACACCATTTACAGAAGAATGCACTACATCTTCCAACATACACACTTTACAATTATCTTTTCATTTTTCTCATAAACTTCATCATTACCTGAACAGTTTTATATATTTTATTTATTATCTATCTGCCCTAAAGAATATAAGTTCCATGAGAACTGACACCACGTTCTTTTTGTTTACAGATCTATCCCAAGTTTTTAGAACAGTAGTACATACCAGTAAGTGTTCAATAAAAATTTGCTAAAAGAGGGGTCAGGCATGGTGGCTCATACCTGTAATCCCAGCACTTTGGGAGGCCCAGGCAGGTGATCACTTGAGACCAGGAGCTCGAGACCGGCCTGGTCAACATGGCGAAACCCTGTCTCTAATAAAAATACCAGAAAAAATTAGCTGGGCATGGTGGCACACACCTGTAGTCTCTACTCAGAGGCTGAGGCACAAGAATCGCTTGAATCCAGGAGGAGGAGGTTGCAGTGAGCCGATCATGCCACTGCACTCCAGCCTGGGCAACAGAGCAAGACTGTCTCGGGAAAAAAAAAATTGCTAAAAGAATGAATGCATATCCTGTTCTCAACTCAGTTTTGGAAAATTAATCCAGAACACTAAGTTTGGACTGCTCTGTTTTGAGATTACTAACAGCAATTTCCAAAAGTTATTCTCTCCAAATGCTCTATTTTACATATAGGAGGAGTGCTCCAGTGTTTCTGCTGGTAGAAGACTAATCAAACTAAAGGAGCAGAATAGTCAAGGTTCATCTATCCTATTAATCTACTTTGTATCAATCACAGAGTTTAATTTGTATGTTACACTAAAAGTGTACGTTAGTTTCTGAAATTTTGACAATAGGAATGCTGAGCAAGATGTAACTTTATCATTGTCTAAAATATATAACTGTGATTTGTAGTCAGTCTCATATATTCAGAATTTAGAAAACATAAATTTAAATTATATAAGCAAGCACTTAGTAGTTACTGTAAACATTCAAAATAAAAACATACCTCCTAGAGCCCCACTGTGATCTAGACTTTTCTTTTTAAGGCCATTAGAGACGATCAGAACAGGAACAACAACAGAAAACAGCCAACGCCACGGAGAAATAGGTCGTAAGTTACCTGAAAAATTATAAAGGTGGAGCACAAATTGTGTGAAGTTTGCACAGGTTAGTTTTGGCAGTAAACTTCCGTTACTGCTTTTAGACTAAAATACTGTCATAAGTACAAACACCAAGATGAAGTCACCAAAGAAATATATAGTCATGCATCACTTAAAGATAGGGATATGTTCTGAGAAATGCATCCTTAGGTGATTTCATGGTTATGCAAACGTCAGACTGTACTTACACACACCTAGATGGTAGAGCCTACTACACACTTAAGCTATATGCTATAGCCTATTGGTCCTAGGCTACAAACCTGTAAAGCATGTTACTGTACTGAATACTACAGGCAATTATAACGTATTTGTGTATCTAAACATAGAAAAAGTAGAGTAAAAATATGGTATTATAATCTTATGGGAACATGTTGTATGTGTGGTCTGTCATTGACGAAAACATTGTTAGGCAGAGCATGACTGTATTTATGTTGAGACATGCATGCATATTTTCGGAGAAACAGTCTTACTGGAGAATGGCCAAATAGGTTATGTCCAAGTTTTGAAAACCTTTTACTGCTATTTATGATAATAATGGATATCTAGATATTTAAAATGAACCTCTGGTTCATTTTTTTTAAAGGGGGCACGTATTAAATTTCAAGGACTACCTAGAACGAACTCTTTTTGTAACAGGATCTTACTCCTCTCTGCCTGTCAGAGGACAGACACCTCATTCAATGGTTAGAAATTGATTATTCCAGAGGCTGCATCCAGCTCACAGATGTTTGGCTAGCAGAGTGTTTTCAAATAATTTTAGTCAATATTTAAAGATTAGGAGATATCATATAAAAATCCAGATTCTTGGCTTCTGTTTTAAAATTGGGAAGTTCTGGCCAACATGGCAGAATTGACTTAAGGTAAAGAGAGGTGCCCTCCTTTAAACAGGCCGTGGCTTTCCCATTTAAAGTTCCCACCCCTCCTGATAGGCTCCTAAACGCCAAGGCAAAGTGATTTCCTTATGGTAAAGAAAACTGTGAACCACTGCTTGTATCTATGTTTCTATCAAAAATGAGAAAATGGGCCGGGCGCAGTGGCTCATGCCTGTAATCCCAGCACTTTGGGAGGCCAAGGCAGGAGGATCCTGAGGTCAGGAGTTCGAGACCCAGCCTGGCCAACATGATGAAACCCTGTCTCTACTACAAATACAAAAATTAGCCAGGCATGGTGGCAGGCACCTGTAATCCCAGCTACTTGGGAGGCTGAGGCAGGAGAAACCAGAAGGCAGAGGTTGCAGTGAGCTGAGATCGTGCCACTGTACTCCAGCCTGGGCAAAAAGAGCGAAACTCCGTCTCAGAAAAATAAAGGGGAAATGAAAGACAAAGAGGGCCCAAGCATTCAACAAAAGATGAGAAATATCCTATTTCTGGAAATGAAAACTATTACCACAGGTCTAATACACAAAAACGTACACAGATTCATTTGCATTAGGTGACTGGCCCCAGAGGGATATTTCAGTTTACAAATCCTGATTTATTCCATTTAGTTCAAGTCATAGTAAATACTGTCACTAACAAGAATCTTTTCTTACACCCCTCCCCTAAAACTCTGATGCCCCACTGTGAATCATTATGAACGAACTGCACTGAGAGCTTCTGTAGCCTGGAGAACCCTTTCCAACTATTCACATGTCTCTTTGCAAAAAGCCTACAGTCTGAAATGGCAATCCCTTACGATACAAGCATTCTCATTCTCCTTTTCATTTTTCCTTTGTTGCAAACTGACCAGTATTTTGTTTTCATAGGAGAAGGAAGTTTGTGTAAATGGAGGCTTATGCTCTAAAGCACCTTTAAAACTTTAAAGATCTGAGTCCAGAGTACCTTATATTTAAGCAATGTAGCTTTAGGCTTTAAAAGGAGTCTATTCTTTTGAAGCAACCAAATGGCAGATAAGTCCTTCAGCTCTCCAAATGTAAATAGTATACCGTTTTTAATTCTTATTATTTTTACAGAACATGTGAAACTGATAAACTACATTACTACTTTTTTTTTTTTGAGACGGATTCTCGCTCTGTGGCCCAGGCTGGAGTGCAGTGGCTCAATCTTGGTTCACTGCAACCTCCGCCTCCAGGGTTCAAGTGATTCTCCTGCCTCCATCTCCCAAGTAGCTGGGATTACAGCTTTTTTCTAGTTTTAGTAGAGCTGGGGTTTCACCGTGTTGGCCAGGCTGGTCTTGAACTCCCGACCTCAGGTTATTTGCCCGCCTCGGCCTCCCAAAGTGCTGGGATAACAGGCGTGAGCCACCGCGCCTGGCCCATTACTAATATTCTTATTCAAAATTAAAAGCATCACTGTAATTGCTTTACAAAGCTATATTCGCCTCACTTATCTTTTACCAAGACAGATGGAATAGTTACATAAAATATAAAGACATTTTGAAATAGGTGTAACTAGTCCAGAAGTGGTGGCCTGTATTGCCAGCACTTTGGGAGACACAGGTGGGAGGATCACTTGAGCCTAGGGGTTTGAGACCAGCCTAGCAACACAGAGGGACCCCTATCTTATACAAAATAAAAATTAAAAAAAAAAAGAAATAGGTATAACTCGAATTATCACAACAAGCATTTATTAAAGGCATTGTTTATACTATCATGTTAGTAAGTTAAATCAGGCTATGGAAGTTAAGTAAACACAACCATTCATAACCATTCAGAGGATATGAGTTTTGGATTTCACAATGGTATGGTTTTAATTTCCTCTGACTAGATTACAGAGAAACAACTTAGAACACTCAGACTTACCATAATAGGTGCTTGCAGTCATTGATATAATCCAGAAAGCTAACGAAATGCAAATGATCAGGCTCAGTATAACTATATTAGTTATCATCTTTATATATCTTTTGCATATATTGTCGTTAAGATCTGTCATGGAAAATAAGGATATGAGCTCCTGCGGGAAAGAATATTTAGCGTTTCGGAGAGAAAGTCATTTACGATGTGAGCAAGACACTTGTTCAGAGGCAAACATAAATCCCAACATATTCCACCGACCAAACAAGCATAAAAATCACAAAAATTCAAACTCCTTCCGGAAACTCCTACTGGCGGAGAGCTCCAATTCATATGGGCGTGGTCAACGCCTCACCGCAAAAGCAGAGCGCAACCCGGCGGACGGTGAGGGCCGGTCGCCGGCTGCCGGCCGCTTCAGCGCCTCACGCCGGAGCCCACGGGGAAAAGAGAAAGCCGAGGCAGCCAATCCGCGGTCCCGGCGCTGGCGAGTTCCACCCACCTCCCGTCGCAACCTTCTCACCCGCGGGCCGGGTAGGCCAGCGGCTGCAAAGGGGCAGCTAGGGCACCCGAACTTGGGCAAGTCTGGGAAGCACGCCCGACGCGGCTGAACGCAGTCACGTCCCGACAGCTGCGCAAGCCGCCCTAGGGTCAGGTCCAGCCGGCCAAGGCCGAGACCCCAGGAGCAAAGCCCGCGCCTCCCGGCGCCCCCGCCTCTAGCGCCTCGCCCGCTGTGGGCATGCGCCGCAGCCGCTTAGGGGGATGTCGCCTAGCTCACGTGGGCAGGCACTGCTGGCATCCTGGCCGGCTGCGTTTGCACTGCTTCTCCAAAACCACATTATAGGTACTAAACAACATTGTTTAGTACCTATAATGTGCTAGACTCCTGGCTGCTAGCGAGGTAAAGTTAAACATAGTTTCTATTACTGAGCTCTCGTAATTATTGTCATAACACCACTTAGATTGTGGAAATATCTGTCCTCACACCCCTTATATTAAAGGTGTGTGCATTTAGAAAGCAAAACGTCTTGTTAGCATTAAAAATCTGAATCGTGGCTGATTTCTTTTCTTTTCTTTTTTTTTTTTTCGAGACAGTGTCTCTCTCTGCCGCCCAGGCTGGAGTGCAGTGGCACGATCTCTGCTCACTGCAACCACCGCCTCCCAGGTTCTAAGCGATTCTCCTGCTCCAGCCTCCGGAGTAGCTGGGATTACAGGCGCCACAACCACGCCCGGCTAATTTTTATATTTTTAGTAGAGACGGGGTTTTGCCATGTTGGCCCGGCTGGTCTCGAACTCTTGACCTCAGGGGATCCACCCACCTCGGCCTCCCAAAGTGCTGGGTTTAATGGCGTGAGCTACAGCGCCCGGCCTGATTTCATGTTTTATGTGAAATTAACTTGTTTGCCTGGGTTAACAGTAATTAACTGATAATTACATAATATTTATCAATTTTTTCAGTTAATTGCTGACAGTGTAAGAAGAGGAGCCAAATCCATTTCAGACACAGTATGCAATTGTGTTTTAAGCCCCAAGAGTAGTTACTTTAAAAAAGCTCACATTATTTTAAATTTCAAAATACATGCCAAGACAGCTTGTCATTTTCTTTGGTAAGACATCTAATTAAGTAGTTAACTAAGAATCAAATCTGTGAAGTAGGACTAAATAGTAGTGGGCTTCCTGTACTAGATAATATACATATATGGTCTTTATGCTGAAATGTATTATGTGCCTACTTTATTTTTGTCTTAGTCTGTTCTGCATAGGTAAATGTTTGGATTATTTCACCAAGCTGACTGGCCAGTATCAATGTTACCAGACTACTGGGTAAAATTATTAATAATGAAAGCTAATGTTTTGTGGTTTGCACAGTCGCATTGTTTTTGTCTCTGCTTAGACAAAATTATAAACTGGTCTTTTTTTTTTTTTTCTTTTTTTTGCCTTGCTTCACCACAGTCACAGAGTGACCCTCTCTGATTAGTTGGTGTTCGATAGGAAAATCATAGCCTAGTTGTGAATGTCAAGCTATCTCCCAACACTGTGGTGTAGCTGTGTCAGGTCAGTCCCTGGATGTCAGGGATGATTTTCTCATGACTATTAGATCTGGCTAAAAAATGCATATTAAATAGTAGTGTCAGTGAACTGACCCTTTAGATGAATATTTTCCCTTCTATTTTTTTCAGTGACCAATTATAGATGTTTTTCTCCATAAAAGTTATTCTAGCTTAAGACCAAAATAATTTAGAGGAGTTAATATAATTAAAATACAGTAGTTCTTATATGCAATAGGCAGTTTCAGTTACCAAGGGTTAAACATGATCTTGAGGCAGGAGAATAGGGTCTCCTATTGAGGCAGGGAACCTAAGGCCGATTCATGCTGACTTCCTAGAGCTAAATCAAAAGGAAAACCCCAACTTCCCATACCTAAGTAACAAAAGGACCCAAAGCTACGCCCTTTGCAAACCCCTCTTTTTTTCTGCGTGGCAGATAGAAAATTGAAAGTATCTCTGCTTGGTAGCTTTCTGCAACCAATCAGACGTTTGCGTAGGAGTGTAACTTTGTAACTTTGCTTCAGCCTCTAATTGGTTGTTTTTCACAACCAATCAGACTGATTGTGGGCTAGTACTTCATTTACATTTACATAAGGTGTACACCAAGTAACCAATGGGAAACCTCTAGAGGGTATTTAAACCCTAGAAAATTCTGTAAGGAGGCCCTTGAGCCCCTATGCTCAGATGGTTCCCACCCTGTGGCGCGTACTTTTGTTTTCAGTAAATCTCTGCTTTTGTTGCTTCATTCTTTCCTTGCTTTGCTTGTGTGTTTTTCCAGTTCTTTGTTCAAAACACCAAGAACCTGGACACCTTCCACCGGTAACAATCCGAAAATATTAAAAAGAAAATTCCAGAAATATTCATAAGTTTTAAATTGCATGCCAAAGTAGCATGATGAAATCTCATGCCATCCAGCTCCATCCCACCTGGGACGTGAATCCTCCGTTTATCTAGCATATCCATCCATGCAATAGACATTACTCTCTTGTTAGTCACTTAGGAGCCATTGCAGTTATCAGATGGACTGTTGCAGTATCACAGTGCCCTTATTTTAGTTCTATTACAATATATTGTTATAATTGTTCTATTTTATTATTAGGTATTCCTCCTAATCTCTTACGGTGCCTAATTTATACATTAAGCTTTATCATAGGTATATAGGAATTGGAAAAAAATAGTATATATAGGGTTTGGTATTTTCCAGGGTTTCAAACATCCACTGAGGGTGTTGGAATGTATCTCCAAGGATAAAGGGAGTGGGAGGGGCTCTTGTATACTTTTAAAAAATCACGATTTTACTGTTACAATTTTTATAGACTATCAATCTTAAAAATTTCAACAAAGTCTTTGTTTTTCTATTTACTTTGGAAGCCATTTTCTGGCAATGGAAAATTTCTGGTTAGGCATTTCCTAAACTATATTTTTTAACTTAATAGTAGTTATTCTTTGTTATTAGTAGGCATCCCTACCACTCAAAAGATACCTGTGATCAAATTTAAGGTTGAGAAATGTTGTCTCTACATGGGATAGTTAGAGTGTATTATTAATGACTCTAAGAAGTTAAGAAACAAACACATTTGTTTAAATGGTTCCAACAGTTAATTGTCTTCATCAGATTTATTTCCTGTAGAAAACATGCAGTTTGAGACTTACTATAGCAATCATAGAATAAACTGAAAGTTCATTGTTGCGCTGATCTTTAAATTTCACAATATAAATACCCATTTATGGTTAAGTGCTCTTTGATATAAAGTTTGGATTTTTCTATGATAGACATTTATATTCAATACCAATCACAAAAATTATCCTAATGTCAAAAAGCACTTACTGTGTGATAGGAAATTATCAGATTTTATTTACAATCCCTTTGAATCTAATTCAAAGGGATTGGTTTAGATTTTCTGAAATGTGCGAATATTTGAGTGATTTGAGTGCCAACACACATACACCACATGTGTATGTGTGGTGAAGGAGCATAGCAGATGAAAATGGACATGTAGACAATTACATTATAAAAAGATGATGACTTTATCCAAGTCATATATAAACAGGACTCAAGGAGAAAAGCACTTATGTCACTCTGGTATGTTTAGGGATGGTGTCACACAAGAGAGGGGAGCATCCAAGGTAAGAATTGAAAGATGACAAAGAGTTTGCTCAGTGACTAAGCTAAACAAGGGCAATTTGTAAAGGTTTGTTTGGTGGTTAAAAAGAACATGAAAATAGGAAGTTCAAGAGAATGGAGAAGAGTTAGAAATAACACATTTTGGAGTGTTTGCTAAATAATTTATTAAACTGAAAATTCATCTGAGAAATAGACACCTCTTTTAAAAAATTTTTAATATAAAAATAGAGGTGAGGTCTCACTGTGTTGTCCAGACTGGTCCCAAACTCCTGGCTATAAGTGATCCTCTTGCCTTGGCCTTCCAAAGTGTTGGGATTACAGGTGTGAGCCACTGCATCCAACCAGTATATGCCTTCTTGACATTAAACCCGAATATTTTGTTTTTTAAATGTTTGTAGTATAGATTTTAAAAGACTAGGGAGCAATTTGAAGATGGATTTGTTGTATTAGGTTGAGCTCATTCTAAAAGGGCCTTAGGGAGAGGGTGGGGAGCAATTGAGGGCAGGAATAAAGAAATGGAATACTGTTTTCCAGTAACCTTGAGGACGGACACCATGTCTGTCTGGCACATCCTAGTTTGATCAGTGTCTCTTAATGAGTGTTAAGATAGTATTTTTTGGGCTGGGTACGGTGGCTCACGCCTATAATCCCAGCACTTTGGGAGGCCAAGACGGGCGGATCACCTGAGGTTGGGAGTTCCAGACCAGCCTGATCAACATGGAGAAACCATGTCTCTACTAAAAATACAAAATTAGCTGGGCATGGTGGCACATGCCTGTGATCCCAGCTACTCAGGAGGCTGAGGCAGGAGAATCACTTGAACCCGGGAGGTAGAGGTTGTGGTGAGCCGAGATTGCGCCATTGCACTCCAGCCTGGGCAACCAGAGCGAAAATCCATCTCAAAAAAAATAAAAATAAAAATAAAAAAGATAGCATTTTTTGAATTACAGTATTCGAAACAAGTTTTTTTTTTTTTTTTTTTTTTTTTTTTTTTTTTTTTTTTAAACAGTCTCACACTATTGCCTGGGCTGGAAGTGCAATGGCACAATTTCCGGCTCACTGCGAACCTCTGCCTCCCCTGGTTCAAGCGATTCTCCTGCCTCAGCCTCCTGAGTAGCTGGGATTACAGGCACCCACCATCACGCCTGGCTTATTTTTTGTATTTTTTTTTTAGCAGAGACGGAGTTTCACTATGTTGGCCAGGCTGGTCTGGAACTCCTGACCTTGTGATCCGCCCACCTTGGCCTCCCAAAGTGCTGGGATTACAGGAGTGAGCCACTGCGCCCAGCCCAAAACAATATTTTAATCAGAAGAAATTAATAAAATATTACAATCTTTCCCTTTTGTTAGTAAGATAGTGCTTTGATAATGTATGCTTTTTTTTTTTTTTTTTTAAAGAGACAGGGTTGCACTCTGTTGCCCAGGATGAAGTGCAGTGGTGCGATCAGAGTCACTGCAGCCTTGAACTCCTGGGCTCAAGCAGTCCTTCTGCCTCAGCCTCCTGAGTAGCTAGGGTACTACAGCCACATGCCTCTGTGCCTGGCTAATTTTTATTTCATTATTTTTGTAGAGATGGGTGTCTCGCTAAGTTGCCCAGGCTGGTCTTAAACTCCTGGCCTTAAGTGATCCACCCGCCTTAGCCCCACAACATGCTGGGATTACAGGCATGAACTCCTGTACCTAGCCTGCAAATACATTTTTGTGTGAGCCTCAAATTATGGTCAGGATAGAGATAGACTGTTACCATTTTCATAGCCGTTCATATATCTTGTCTAGATTGCCTATTATCTGAAACAGTGCAAATAAACTATAATGTACATTTAGATATAATGTGAGCAACAAAAATGAAAATAATTTCTCTTCAAGGCTTTACATTATCTTTGTTCTACCATTTGCTTCAGTTTAGGGAGAAGGACTTCACAGAAGTCTTTCAGGGGGTCAATGTAAAAGAACTTTCACAGAAATATTTATGTACATTTTTTAGAAATAACAGGCATGACAGTAATTTCCTTGGGGAAAAATGTTTAATATCACCATACTCAGAATACATTTTTTTGAATATGCAATTATTTAGTATACACTACAAAATCCTCAATTTTAGAAAGTTTCCAACTGTCTAAATATCAGAAGAATGCAATATTTTGGTACAAAGATGAACCATTTCCTATATTATAGCAAAATTAAAATCTACCCGTATTCTAATATTGAGAAATGAGATAAAACACAATATTATAAAGTCTACTTAGAGAAGATCAAGTGACCTCAAAGACTTTACTATTTTCATATTTTAAGACACATGATTTATCCTATTTTAGTAACCTGGTTCATACGTTAAACAAAGGATAATGTGAACAGCAGAGAGGATTTGTTGGCAGAAAATCTATGTTCAATCTAGAACTATCTAGATCACAGACATTTCTATTCCTTTTGCAAGTTGGCACACAGTAAATGCCCGAATGAATAAATAAATTGCATTAACAAGGATGTCTTCATGTGTAAATCAGAGATAATACCACCTACCACACAGAATGTAAGGGAAAAGAGAACAAATAAGTACCAAAGTGCTTTATACGATTCTGAGTTATTTTAAAAATCTGTGTTAATAGGTTTGTTATTTTACACAAAATATCAAATTTCAAATGAACTCCAGTGCTGGATTTCGATGTAGTATTTTATTTATAGCTATGTTTTCCTTTTAACAAAGATACCATTAACACATTTGTTCAGTGTTCATTTTAAAGGGTAAAAATGTTGTCTTATAGCTCATTCAATAAAACACCATAATTCAGGTCAAATGCCAATGTCCTTGTACCTCCTTTGCTAAGTCAATATAAGGAGGAATCTGTTTTGTTTCAAGACAAAAGCATTTGATTATAAAAAGGTCTACAGTTTATAGTTCTTACTGAATTCCAATTCAACAGCATTTACCAAAGGACTTTACAGCTATTTCTTTTGTAGCATTTATCATATTGTATTATAAATATTACTTGTTTCTTTCAGGAGATAGAGCAACTTGAGGGCAGAAAATAATGTAATATTCCTTTTTATATCAAGTACCTAGCCTTTGGCTGGTTCTTTGTAGAGGTTGGTGCCCAGTAGACAGAGAACAAATGAACAGAAGATCTGTGTTGTGACCGGGAGAGGAAAAAAAATCCATTATAATTTCAGTTAGTTTATGGTCAGAGTGATTAAAAAAAAAACTATCAAACTGAAAGCAGCATTTTAATAGACTCCTTTTAGGTTTTTCTCTGTGAATAAAGCTAGTTTTAAGGTAGACAAATGTATGTTAATAAAACAATTTGATGCAAAGAGTTTGGAGCATGTTGTCAGGACAGCACAATGAAAATCACGGAGAAAACACAGAAAAGTTTACTCTAAAATTATTGAGTAGTAGTTTAATACTGTCAGGTAATAATGAATGAAGATGAAGTAACCTTGTCCAAAATTTGTTGTATTTTACAATATTTTATTTTTATGATTTTTAAAATTTATTAAGGTTTCAAGGTATTACTGTAGATGGGAACTGGGCTACACAAATAAGTGTTTTGTATCTGGGGTGAAGGGTGAACCACATGACAGTGGTTATACTTGGAAAAAATAGTTTTTATTAAAATGATTATTTGTCCAACTTATTTTGAGTTATAAAATAGATATGGTCAGTGAATGTTTGATGATGATTATATGTTGGCAAAAAGTTATTTGAAACCATACTAGAAAAAAATAAATATGTAATGACAATTCCAAGGAACTACATCTAATACTTAAGATAAAGATAAAATAACTAGCAAGATTTATAACATTCACAAAAAGATTTTCATAAATATCTGTTTTAAATACCTCATGGGCATTCTAAGAGACTTTTCCTACCTTTGCATTTCCTTGGGAGGCATTCCTTAGTAAAGAGAGTGCTAATACTGTAAAAGAATTGTTACTAGGAGCCAAGCAAATGCAATCCTAAATAGCAAAAAAATGAAATTTTTAAAAAAATCATGAAGTAGCTATTACTTTACAGGAAAGATTACAGCAATTTATGACTTGGTTTATGCTACCTTTGTATGTTAGTATCACAAGCTTGAATTAAATAAGTTGAGTTAAATAACTTGATTCTCTATTAACAAATTTTTACATGATTTCAACAAAGCTGTTTGAAGCAAAGGGTTCCTATTAAACATTAGTGAAATAAAGCAAACCCTTTAATTGTTCAAGTGGCAATGATAAGAATAGTTCTGAACTTTTATTTTATAAAATAATTAGCATTTGCATACCACTATCACAGACATACACATATTTCTATAGGGAACATTTAATTTCCCTTATGCACTATGGTTGCTTTATTTTTGTTGTTGCTGTTTTAGAGACAGGAGTCTCACTCCATTGCCCAGGCTGGAGTGCAGTCGTGCAATCACAGCTCACTATAGCCTCAACCTCCTAGGTTCAATTGATCTTCCCACCTTAGCCTCCCAAGTAGCTGGGAACACAGGCATGCTAGTTGCTCTATTTCACTCACTAAAAAAGGAGATAAAAAGCAAGCTGATGTCTAAGATAAACTGATGCCATTTTAAGTTATCAATACAAAGTGTGAAGATATAAGTAGTTTCCTGTGATTAAATTTTACTGTGGGTTTATGAAGAGGAAAAAAAAAGCCCACTATATTGATACACTATTTCTGAGGTATAGTATGCATTTGGAAAGTAGTTAAAAAGAAAACAAAAAACCTTAGGAGTTTTGGTTATCAACAAATATGGAAGCACCAATTTTGAAGTTGGAAATGTAAGATTTTTATTATGAGAAAAAGAGTAGTATACATTTATCTAAGCTAGGTCCTGAACTCTGAATTATTTTACAACACTTACTTAGGTGAATATTATCAGCTACTAGATTTTACTAGTTTAAAGTACTTGAGGCCTTACCTAGTTTGGATGACTCAATGGTACTTCACATTCAAATATTTTCAAAATATTTTACAACCTATTTTAAAATCATTCTTATGAGAGAGGCCATGATAAGCTCACTTTTACTGGTAAAACAAAATATAGAAAGTTTTAATTTAAAAACTTGCCCTGTACCTTTTTTTCTATAAATTTTTCAAATCACAGTGCCAATTATAATTTAATTAATACAAAACCCAGCAGTTTTAAGGTCATGTTGAATGTTGGTTAACTCTTATTTAGCATCTTATTTAGAATGCAATATGCCAACTTTGGTACAGGAAAAAATTCTTCTCTAAGTTAAACATATTACTTATCATAAGCTGTTCTTTTAACAGTAGTTTAAAAAGACAAAAACAAAAAACACCTTTCAAACACACAATTTATTAGCAAAATTTTTAAGTCCGTAATTCTAATGTAAGGCACTTCCACTCATTTTCAAATAAAATTTCCATATGAAGTTTTTTATTCTTTTGTAATCAAGTCTTCACAAATTCAGTAATGTTACTTCAAGTAAAACTTTATTAAATAATGAATTTTGGCATAAGTGCCATAATTATCTTTACTTCTGAAAAGAATGAAGGATAGGCATCAAGCTCTGTGCAAGCTAAATTTAAATGAAGGTACTCTTGGTCTGTTTTAGATTTAGACTTAGCAGTGTTTTATCTTGTTGATCTTGTTCAAGGATCTTAAAATCTTCCAAAGGAAGACTGCTTAAGGCAGTTGGTAACATGTGTTCTGATGTACCTTTAGGTAATACACTATTTGCTTCTAAATTCTTTACCAAACACGTGGCTTTGATCCATCTTCGAGTTGCTCTGCGTTCCTTTTGTAGGCAAGTTTTCATTTTTCTTCTTAAGCTTGCTATTTCTTTTTCCAGTTTAATGATCCTCTTTTTTGCCTCCATAGGATTCCTAAAGGCATAGCTGTGTTCAAGTAGTACTTGCTGACTACTAATGTTTGATTTTAAATTAGATGGTCCAGCTGGAGAACAACTGTTGTTTTTCTTCAAAAGATTCCTTGACTTGAGTTTCTGAGCCGAATAAAATTAGAGGGTTGAACATAAATTATGAAATATCACAAATAAGCACATAGTGTCCAGTTTTGGATAACAGTATTTAAACTGCTCTTTTAAAAGTCAATTTTAAAACTTTAATAGGAAACAGCAGCAGCCATCTCATGTAATCCAAGATTAAGTTTTTTAACTGGTTGAATTAACTCTAGTCACCTATTTCTTTTTGTCCCATATCCAGAGAGATTCAAACACTGATTTGGAAATAGACAATGGACGTCCAAGGTTTCTTCCAAATTATTGACTATGACTCTATAGAGACTTTAAAGATCCTTTGCAATTTACTAAGGTCAATTTACAATATATGTAGATATTATTTATGATATTAATTTGATCCCCTTTTAATTAAATACCCTTTTCTCAATTTGATAAATATTTTAGACCCAGGGTCCTATTTAATGAAAACTGAAGGATCTGTAGAAATGTATTCTTAAGTACCAAGCTTCTAAACAGATTTACCTATTAATTTTTGATGGTTATATCTTCAAGGATTTAAAATCTGGCTAGGAACATTTGCCAAAATCAGGAGACTTTTTTTGCTTTTATCTCTTTCATTCAAATGGTCATCAAGTCCTATTAATTCTACCCACTAAATATTCCTACCATGAATCCTCTCCTCTCCGTCATTCTTTTTTTTCCTTTCTCTGTTCCACAATAAGGCTGAACACTGTCATTCTTAATGTCACTACTTACACTGGGCCCGTATCATATCTGTTCTGACTATATTATTCTTTATTGATCTCTCCACTTCATTTTGATCCTCATTAATCCACATTCTGCCATAAGAATAATTTTTCTAGAATATTTGACTTTTCCATTCTGGCCAAATTATTCTTTGCCTATCTATTATCTAAAGGAAAAATAAATCTTTAGATGGCATACTATACAATTTAGGATCTCACCCCATTCTGCAATTTACCATCTTGATTTATACTCCAGCAATACTAAGCCACTGGGAGTTTCCAGATTATATCATATCCTCATAAGTCTGTGTCTTTAATTCATTAAACATTTATTGAAACACATACTATGCATTCCTGGGGACACAACACTGAACAAATAAGATGATGTGGTTCCTATCCTCATGAAACCTACAGTTAGTCCCTCTGCCTAGGGAATTGACAGGAACTCTTTTTTGATCTTTGTATCTCTAGCACTGAGCTTAGATTCTGGCATAATGGAAAGTTTAGTTGTATTTATTAAATAAATAAATTATCAAAATGTCAAAAATAAGGTGTATTTCAAATTCAGTAAGTATTTGAGTATATACTATGTCCCAGGCACTGTTTGAGGTGCTGAGGATTCACGTGTGAAAAAGACTAAGTTCTTGTCCTCCTGGAGCTTTTCTAACATCAGTGGTAATTAGCTTACCACAACCTCGTCTCCATTCAGATAATAACTCATATACATTTAAAAGTTTAACAGTTACAAACAAGAGAAACAGTAGTTTTTCCTCAGAGGAAAACATGTTTGTCCTCCCTTTCAAAGCTAAACTATTTGTGTTCATTTTACCCTTTCTTACTCTTGGTGACCCTGTCTTTCCCAGCTAGGTTTTCCTCTCTGGTCAGATCTTCCCTAACTAGATAAAACATTGTTTTAATTCATTCATCTTATACCTTTATTCTTTCGTTTTTTTTAATTTACTTTTTTTTGCTTCATTTTTTCTTCATTCTTTCCTTTAAATATCACTTGCTAACATTTCCTACTCACGCCTCAACCCACTCGTTTTTGTTCTCATTATGCAACTGTAATTATTCTGTGCAAAGCCAAGTTCCCTTTCCTCTATTTTAAACTCCCAAGGCTTCAAAAGCCCACCCTGAATGCCCAAGCTCTCTGAAGATTTCTGTCATGCCTGCCTCCCTCTGAACTTACATTCTTTGGTTTAATTCTGGCTGTGTGCTCTTAAAGTACTTTGCACATGTTATTTGTATGTCATTTTAAAATCAGAGCACAGTGATGCTGGAGGTTTCATTACTCATATGATTTTTCAGTTTTACCAATGGTGCAATTATTAATAATAATGGGTAATAATGTAAAATTCCAATATAGTAAAACAATTTGGATTGGGGAAAGAATATTGGAGTCAGGAGACCCAAACTCTGATTCTAGCCTGTACCTTTACTGTACAAGAGGAAGGTCTGCAACTTTTTTGAGGCATATCACTATAAATGAATTTCAGTTAATAACTGCATAAACAAAAAGGAATGAGTTCTAAAAATGGTTTTAACAAAAGGAGAGTAACATTACCTACCATAGACTTTATATGGGTACAAAAATCAAAAATGGTTGGAACAGCATCCATTTTAAGTCGTCGAGTTTGTCCTGTTAGGTCAAAACAGGAGGCTTCAAAGTGCTTTGAACAAAGAAAAGTGTGTTTTCCTGGCACAAAATTTTTGCGCCTAACCAGGCGAACCCATTCTTTTCTTCTTTTAGGATCCAAAGGAAACCTTAAAAAAAAAAAAATGCAACTCAAATTCCAACTATCATAATTCTGGCTGCACCTAAATGATTAAAAGAAATTTCGAAGATGATTAAAAGTGTGTCCCATTTACCTAAAAAATTTTAAACTAACAATATCCAGACACTGGAACAGAAACCAATTCATGGTAATGTTTTATAAGTTTGAAAAACTTAGTCAAAAACTGACTTGAGTCGTTTATTTTTCAGGGCTTTTAAAAAGAGACATTTCTTCCCAATTAGCCCTTAATCTGGGCAGTAAATAAAACATGACTAAACTGATTTAGATCAAGTTTAAGTAGAACAATTATAAGCGGGAGTAATTTCACCACGCTTTAATCTGCTGCTGATATATGTAGTCAAGAAAAATCAGATATCTAAAGATTAAATTTTGTCAAGGAAAGCCTAGGCAGATTCTGGTACTCTTTCCTCTATGTCCCATCATTAAGACACTTACCACCTTGTTTTGTAATTTTTCCATTTTAATTTCCAGTGACATAAAGATTATAAATTTCTTGAGGACAGGGATCATTATATCTTGTTATGTATTTATCTTTGACACTTAGCACAATGCTTTGCAAACAGTAGGGATTCAACAAAATTTGCTAAATTAATACAAATACAGAGTAATAATATACTGTATGTAAACAGCAAATACTTTTAAAAAGTCAACTCTTTAATTATGTAGTGCAGCAGAAAGTAAACTTACAAAAAGGTAAAATGCTTTGTAGCAATGTTTTTCCTTTCATATTTCAAATATAAAGTACAGTTGACCCTTTAACAACATAGGTTTGAACTACACAGGTCCAATTATATGTGTATTTTTTTCAATAAATATATTTGAATTTGAAACAATTGGAAAAAACTTGCAGACAAACCATGTAGCCTGGAAACATCAAAAAAATTAAGAAAAAGGTATGTCATTAATACATAAAATATATGTAGATACCAGTCTATTTTATCATTTACTACCATGAAATATACACATACTAGTCTATTTTGTCATTTACTACCATGAAATATAAACAGATTTTTAAAAGTTAAAATTATCAAAATTTACAGAGACCATACATGGCATCATTCAGTCCAGAAGAATGTAAACAAATGCAAAGATGCAGTATAATAATAACTGCATAAAACCAACTGTAGTACATACTGTACTACTGTAATAATTTCATAGCCATCTTCTATTGTAGTGAGCTCAATAACTGCTGTGAGTACCCACTTAAAGTGCCATGTGATGCTAATTATCTCTGTCTAAGCAATTCGTCTCTCCAGTAAGTTGTGTATCATGGCAGAAAGTGATCTCTCGCAGTTCTCGCATATTTTTCATTGTATTTAGTGCAATACCATAAACCTTAAATAATACCATGATACCCATATGAAGTGCCATTAGTGATGATGGATGTGCTCTAAGAAGCAGAGTCATGACAATACAAGAAAAAGTTGAATTGCTTGAGATATATATATATATATGCCACATAGATTTAGGTCTGCAGCTGTTGTTGCCTGCCATTTCAAAATAAATAAATCCAGGACCACTGTAAAAAAAAAAAATCATCAAGCTGTTGCTACAGCTGTGCCAGCAGGTACAAAAACCTTGCACTTTTTGTGAAATATCTTTCTATTCTGTATTGGAAATGCAGCTTTTATGTGAGTACACAATTGCTGTAAGAAAGCCATACCTGTATTCCAGGACTAGAGGTAGTTTTTTTTTAGAAAGAAAATTTTTTAGAAAAATCATATTAGAGTTTATACAGAACTCTGGAGAAAAGGTGAGGTTGTTATATGATAAAACAAAAGGAAGGTGAATGATCTGAAGCTGCAAATTTAATGCCATCAGAGGATGTTTGATAATTTTAGAAAGAGGTTTGGCTTAAAAAATGTCAAGATAACAGAGAAACAGCTTCTGCTGACCAAGAGGCTGCAGATGTTCCCAGATGCCATTAAGATCATTCAAGAGAAAGGCTGTCTGAACAGGTTTCTGATGCAGGCAAAAGTGCCCTTTCTTGAAAAAAATGCCACAAAGGATATGTATTAGTAAGGAAGAGAAGCAAACATCAAGACTTAAGGCAAGAAGGGATAGGCTAACACTGTTTTGTACAAATGCAGTTGGGTTTATATCAGTTCTGCCCTTATCTACAAACCTGCTAAACCCTGAGCCTTGAAAAGGAAAGATAAACACCAGCTGCCAGTCTTTTTGTTGTAAAATGAGAAGGCTGGGACAATGAGAACCCTTTTTCTGGATTGGTTCCATTGAATTTAGGAAGTACGCTGCCAGTAAGGTACTGCCTTTCAAAGTTCTTTCCATTTTGGACAATGCCCCTGGCCACCAAGATCCAGTCCAACACAGAATGTGTCAAAGTGGTCTATTTGTCCTCAAACTCAATGTCTTTAATTCAACTTCTAGATCAGAGGGTCAGAAGTTTTAAGGATCATTACACATGGTACTCTATGGAAAGGATTGCCAACGCTATGGAAGAAAACCCCAACAAAGATAGAAAACATCATGAAAGTATACAAGGACTGCACCATTGAAAATTGTTACAGAAAAAGTGGTGAAAGAAACCAAGCCCAAAACAATAAATTCCTGCTAAAGAAAAGTGTGTGTGTATGTTGTGCATGACCTCACAGTCTTTGTGACAGAGCTGATAAGGGAAATCATGAATGAGATTGTTGATATGGCAAAAAAGGTGGGCAGTGACAGGTTTCAAGATATGGATCTTAAAGAAATTCAAGAGCTGATTTAAGACACCACACCAGAGGAATTAACAGAAGACAGCTTGATGGAGTTGAGTGCTTCTGAACACTGCCAGATGATGAGGAAGAAGTTGTAGAAGCAGCAATGCCAGAAAAATTGACATTAGAAAATCTGGCAGAAGGGTTCTGATTATTCAAGACTGCTTTTGACTTCTTTTATGACATGGACCCTTCTATAATAGGGTCTCTGAAACTAAAGCAAACAGGGAAGAAGGATTGGTGCAATATAGAACCATTTTTAGAGAAATGAAAAAGAGTAAGACAGAAATTATGATGTATTTCCATAAAGTTAGACTGAGCGTGCCTGCCTTTCCTGCCTCCCCTTCCACCTCTTTCACCTTTGCCATGCCTGAGGCAGCAAAACCAACCCCCTTCTTCCTCCTCCTCCTCAGCCTACTCAATGTAAAGATGACAAGGATGAAGACCTTTATAGTGATCCACTTCCACGTAATCAATAGTAAATATATTTTCTCTTAATTTTTTTTTTTTTTTTTTTGAGACAGTTTTGCTCTTGTTGCCCAGGCTGGAGTGAATGGTGCCATCTCGGCTCCCTGCAACCTCCACCTCCCAGGTTTAAGTGATTCTCCTGCCTCGGCCTCCTGAGTAGCTGGGATTACAGGCGCCTGCCACCACGCACGCTTAATTTTTGTATTTTTAATAGAGACGGGGTTTCACCATGTTGGCCAGGCTGGTCTTGAACTCCTGACCTCAGGTGACCCACCTGCTTCGGCCTCCCAAAATGTTGGGATTACAGGGGTGAGCCACCATGCCCGGCAGGATTTTCTTAATAACATTTTCTTTTCTCTGGCTTACTTTATTCTAAGAATACTGTACAGAACACATATAACATAAAAAATATGTGTTGATTGTTTACGTTATTGGTTAAGGCTATTAGTTGAATTTTTGGGGAATCAAAAGTCATACTCCGATTTTCAACTGTGTGGTGAGGGAGCTTCTGCACCCCTAAACCCTGCATTGTTCAAGGGTCAACTGTACACTGATATGCATCCAGTGTGTACCTATTAAGGAAGAGACAAATATAAGGGGCTGTCTCTAAGAATTCTACTGGTAACTTGGAAATATAAGAATCAACATTGACATGTAGTAAGTTTGTGTAAAACTCTTTAGTTTGACTACATTATCCTTTAAATATTAATTATGAAATGACTAGTGTTTAAAAAGAACCACAAAATCCAAGTTAGAAGATCATGTGGTTCAGAAGACCCAAATGCAGCCTCATTAGGTAACAGCTTTGGGTATATCGCATATACTAGGTTGGCTAACACTACCAGCAATGAGGGGCACAAAGAAGTGAATGTCTGGATTTACAGTCAACACTCTCCCATCTTCTGTCCCCATCCCCCTCAACCCTATACGTACCCTGATCTGAAGATACTAACATCTGTATATCACTCCACAATTCACATATGCATTTTTTCTATTTTACAAGAAAATAGAGTTTTTTTTTTTTTTTTGAGACGGAGTTTCGCTCTTGTTGCCGAGGCTGGAGTGCAGTGGCAGGATCTCAGCTCACTGCAACCTCTGCCTCCCAGGTTCGAGAGATTCTCCTGCCTCAGCCTCCTGAGTAGCTAGGATTATAGGTGCCCACCACACCTGGCTAATTTTTTTTCTATATTTTTAGTAGAGACGGTGTTTCCCATGTTGGCCAGGCTGGTCTTGAACTCTTGACCTCAGGTGATCCACCTGCCTCGGCCTCCCAAAGTGCTAGGATTACAGGCATGAGCCACCGCAGCTGGCTGAATAATTTTCTGTAACTTATTTACTCTGCCTAGTCTCACCTCTTAATGACAATCTAGTCTCATTTCAAAGATCTCTGTCCCAGTATTTGATGGTTTGGAAATATTTCCTAAAGGCTAAGCTAAAAATCAGGCTTTAAACACATTTCTTCTTGTCAGGGCCTCAATAGAGACTCAGAATAAGTACTATCATTGTATTATTATTTGTATAAGACTCTTCCACTATAAGACTGTCTTTCAGATACTATTTTTCAGGTCCTTAATTCTCTCTTTTAAAGCTCTTTTTAAAACTAGCTCCTTAATTAGGAAATCAATGCCTTGAATCAAATCTTAAGTTGACCAAATTCTACTTAAGACTGTTTAGGAATCCTATCTTATTAAGGAAGTTTTCCATGATCAGAGGACTGGGTTAGATGTCGCTATAGCACTGATAGCACAGTTTTTTGTTTACTTTTCTATCTTTCCCACTGGACTGTAAGTTTCTCTAGGGTAGGAGCTGTGTTTTTCACTGCTTTGTCCCTGGGTCTAGCATAGTATCTAGCATAGTATCTGTTAAGCACTCAATGAACTTTTCTGAATCAATGAATGAATGAACTAATGGGGTTAACTCAGCACTACTAGTCTTTAGATTTTCTGTGCTGAACAATATGAATAATCAATGATTTTATACTTAATTTTGGTGTAATGTTTTTGTACAGCACTAACCTTGATCATGTTTTGGATGTGTTGTTTGGATTTTTCTCAGCACATTCAAAGGGTGGGAGATATAGCCCATAAGCTAAATTTAAGTTCACCTTAATTTAATAATAAATCTTCACATAAATACAATAAAATTAAGATGATGGTAACAGGATATATTCTTATCTAGACAGTAATAGAACCAGGCTCTTATAAATATTTGATGTTTTGGAAAATCACTCAGTAGTTTAAACAGTGCTATTCTGTGTGCATCTTCAATAATTAGTTGAATGCCTCATACATTCCAAGCACTGTCCTAGGCACTGAAGACACAGTAGGAAACAAAATAGACATAGGACTTCTCTTCCATGAGCGTATACTGTAATGGGGAAGGTAGGGAATCAAATAGCTGGATGCAATAGAATAGAGTGGCCACTGTCTCTGGACTCAAACCAGGGCACCAATCCTGGCTCCTTTGCATAATATCTGGGTGACTTTAGGCAAGTTAACCTTTTTAGGTCTCCTTTTATCATATGTAAAGTGGGGATAAGAATGGCACCTAGTGTGGTCATAAGGATTAAATGAAAAAATGTCAGTAAATGCTTAGCCCAGTGCACAGTACATGCTAAATATTAAATAAATGCTATTTATTATTATAATAAAAGTAACTACAAGTGTCGATGAGTCTTATAAAAGCATAAGTACAGGGTTGTGTGGAACCGTAAAACAGGAAGAGCTAGTCTAGTCAGGAGGCCTTAAAAATTATAGGAATCAGCTAGAGAAGTTAGGGTGGGACAGTAGAGTGTTAAGAATATCTTGGGGACAGAGAATAGTGTTATGAAACAATGCTGGAGGGCCTTCTAAGTCAAAGAGTAATTTTGAACCTTATCCACCTTATCCAAAATGGCAATGGTAAGCCATTAAAAGGCTGAATTGTGGGAGCTGATTGTTAACAGAAAATCTGTAAGCCAGTTGTTAAACACAGCCATTATTAAAATTAAACTAATATAAAGTTGCAATTAAATAAATTAAAATGAAAGGTAATAAATACCAAAACCCCCAAATTTCCTAGTGATTTTACTGTTACCTTTACTCTTAAGGTTGTCTGTTGTATCTGTATGGTGGAAATACTAAAATAGTGTGAAACTGCACATCTCTTTCCAACTCCATAATCAGTGATGTCATATTGATAGCTTGAAACTAGACTTGGTAGTAGTATTTACATCATAGAAGGTGGGGAAACACTACAAATCAGGGCTTTTCCCCCTCCCTAGAGAACATTTATTAAATATTTAGCAACATACTATTGATTACAGAAGAGTGCCTAGGAGTGCATGGATGGAAGCAGTGAGCCAGTTAAGAGCCTACTGTAATAATCTAATCAAGGGGTAATGGTGAGAAGTCAAGGGAGGAAGACTTCCAAGTTTCCAGATGGGTAGATCTTCATTTACTGAGAAGCAGAGTACAGGAAGTGGGGGTAAGTTTGGGGAAGGGCAGTTTGTTAATATAGATAATGAATCTGGGTAACTAAAAGGAGACCAGAGAAATACTGAGTAGACACTTGGCCTATAGGTCTGGAACTCATTAGACAGAGATGGACTGGAGATACTGATTTGGGAGGCATCAACAAGTAGATGCTGAGACCACAGAACAGCTGAAATTATTCTGATACGAATGTGAAGACCTGGCTTAAGGAGTAGAGAGAAGAGTAGCAAAAGAGATTGAAGACAGGCCAAAAAAGTCAGAAGATAATCATAAAATTAGTGTCATAGAGAGTATTTCATGGAGGAAATGATCACATACCATGAAAAATGAATGTAGAGAGACATTAAGGTCATGTTAGCAAGAGCAATTTCAGAAGATTACTGGGGAGACTTAAGACTTGAGTTGGCTAAGAGGTAAGAAAGATAGAGACAGTAAGTTTAGGCAAAATAACTTGCACATAGAGATACAGAAGTCTACTAATGGCCAGGCGTGGTGGCTTACGCCTGTAATCCCAACACTTTGGGAGGCCGAGGCAGGTGGATCACAAGGTCAGGAGTTCGAGACCAGCCTGGCCAATATGGTGAAACCCCATCTCTTCTAAAAAATATAAAAATTAGCCAGGCATGTGGGCATGCCTGTAGTCCCAGCTATTCGGGAGGCTGAGGCAGGAGAATTGCTGGAACCCAGGAGGTGGAGGTTGCAGTGAGCGAAGATCACACCATTGCACTCCAGCCTGGGTGACAGAATGAGACTCTGTCTCAAAAAGAAAAAGAAAAAGAAAAAAAAGTCTACTAATGTCCCAGTAGAAAAGGAGTGAATCAATTAATCCTTGTTTGTATTTACAAAATAGGAATGTATTTTTATTATAATGAATACTATTTTAAGACCTAAATTTCTGAGGTTACACATGAAAATGTTAAATTCATAGTAGGCAAATTTTATGCATGTTATTGTACCACCATCCATCTCTTTTTTTTTGTTTTGTTTTTTGTTTTTTCTTGAGACAGGGTCTCACTGTATTGCCCAGGCTGGAGTACAGTGGCATGATTATGGCTCAGTGCAGCCTTAACTTCCCCAGTTCAGGTAGTCCTCCCACCTCAGCCTCCGGAGTAGCTGGGACTACAGGCATGCGTCACCAGGGCCAGCTGATTTTTTTGTATTTTTTTGTAGAGACGAGGTTTCACCATGTTGCCTAGGCTGGTCTCAAACTCCTGGGCTCAAGTGATCAGCCCGCCCTGGCCTCTCGAAGTGCTGGGATTACAGGTGTGAGCCACCACACTGGGTTAAACATTGTTATTGGTGTCTGGACTCCCCTCTCTCATCTATCCAATCAAATTACTAAATTCAGTAGTTTCTCCTTGAACATTTCTCCAATCTGTCCCCTCCTCTCCATTTCTACTCTAATATCACCCTAGTCTAGAAATTTGGGTGGACTTTCCTTGTTTTATTTACTACAGCTTCCTAACTAGTTTTTCTCTGTCAGCTCACACATTCCCTAATTCAATGCTGATTGTGCCAGCAACTGAGTAAAGGGTTTAGTTTAGTTGACATTGTAGCAAGATTTCCCTGTGAAGGAAAAAAATAGGTAAATTAATATTCTGTAATAAGTTCCTTTCTCATCAAGTTCATTCCCGATGATGCTTGACCAGCACTTTCAGTAACACTACGATTCTCTACACTGCAGCCAGAGGACTTTTCAATATGCAAATCTAATCGTGCCATTCTTTTTTAAACCCTCCATGGTTTCTCAAGTACTCTTAGGATAAAACAGAAAATACTTAAGTAGCACACAGGACCCAATCTGTCATCCTTTGGTCTCATTTGAAATGTCACATCCTTTGAAAAAGTGTTCTTTGACTTTCCAAGACTAAGTTAGGTCTCTGAATGTTTCTTCTGTGGCACTTAATTATTTATGTCTTTCTCCACCATTAAATTCTAAATTCCAGGAGGGTTAGAACTTTCTGGATCCTTAGCACAATGTCAGGTAATTAGGAACTCCGTACATATTTGATGGATGAATGAACAAAGCACTACATATGCATGAACTAGTTTAAAAACAGAAACATCACAAGATTTTTTTTAAGTGGCAGCTTTTAATAAAAGTACAGTTCGTAATAGGTAGGGAAAAAGGTCAAGGATATAATTTCTACATACTAACATATACGTTGTTAGGTATATAAAATATATAAAATCAGGACTGGTGTCACTTAACTTTTTAATGTGTCTTTTCTTCGGGCACGTGGCAGGCACTTGCAGAGAAGGTAAACATTTACAGAGTACCTGTTATTTTCCAGGCATTGTTCAAAGTGCTTTCAAGAGTTCTGGTTTGACAGAACTAAAGAATTTTGATTTTTCTTCCAGCAAACAAAAGAAAACCTAGGTTCTTTTTATTACTCTATTCTAGTAAGAACAGAAAGGTTATCTTTTGCACTTTAATTAACATCGCTTAATTCCATGGCTATCAAAGATGACTCAATTCCTCCGCAGAATTACTATGTGACTATTAGAAATCTAAATGCCTCCCATGTCAATTCATCTAGTGAGAATTTCCTAATTTTAACGGGAACACAGCAGGCTTTTACGGTGATTGCTGATTGGGAAGATCTCTTTCTCCCTTACGGCGTCATTCATGTCAAGGCCCGGTCTAACAGAGGAATAAAACAGTAGAAAATTACGATATCCTCCTGTTACTTTTTTTTACTAAGGGGTAATGACCAAACAGTACTTGGATTTCTTTTAGAAAATGAGTAAAGCTTCCCCGAAAGCAGAGAACAATTGGGCAGATTTGAGAAACACAAAGGACATACGATGCTTCCCTGCTACCAGCTGGGAAAGTTATTAGAATTAGCAGAATCCTCCTGTTCCTTCCACACAAGCGATAGCCACAATAGGAACTCCAGTTTCCGTCACCCCCACTCCCTGCCCAGGTTACCTGTGGAAGCTGATGTTAATGTGCTTGTTGTAGGTAGTGGCACAGCCCGCCGCAGCGCAATTGGTCGGCATTTCCCTTTCCCACTCATTCAGCGCCCTTAGGTCTCTACTGAGGCGCTGGCTGCTAAGCTTTCTTCTGGCAGAGGCTGGACAATCGAGGCAGGCGTGCCTTAATCGTGAGAGCTTAGTCGTGAGAGCGGAGTGGGAAGAAGGGGTGTGTATGTGGGGGCGGAGGCGAAGGACGGTCAGCCTTCCCTTTCTCTTTATTAATATGGCCGACTAGAGCCCACAGAACTGGCCCTCCTGGAGCTCTAGTCGCCTTCGCTTGACTTCACCAACATGGCGGACACAACCCGTTCTTTCTCCCCGCCCCCAAGAGGGAGCGGATCTACTGCGTTTCTTTGGCAGCGGTCCTCAGAGCAATTAAAAGGAAGAGGTGTTTTCCCCTCCGATTACTATAAATTACAAGAGTTTTACAATAAAACTCTCTCAAGGCTGCAACAGCAGCTCCACCTACTTCTGCATGCACCCAACTGTACCAAGCCAGACCCTGCGGTGGGTGTGACCCTAGGACCGGAAGAGTAAACCCGAAGAAAGACGAAAGACTACAAATCCTAGTGAGTATCGAGTTGGTCTTATTATCGCGTGAACTGGGAGCCTTTGTTTCCTGCGTGTCGCAGGAAGTGACGTTTCGGGTACAGCCGCTACCAGAGTCCCTTTCTCGCGAGGCGGAAGAACCCCGATCGCTGAGGAGCAAGGGGGCGCTAGGAAAGGGAACTGGGTTGCGACGGTCCGGCGAGAGAGAGCTGGGGTGCTGGGGTGCGGGGAAGTTGGGGAGCAGAGGCCGCTTGGTGTCCGAGTAGGGTAAGACCGCACCGACCCAGTCCGTTAGGAAAGAAGGGAAACGAGGCAATTGTCGGGCGGATCCCCGGACGGAGGGCTAAGGTTGTGTGGAAGGCGCTGCTCCCCGGATGGCGACCGCAGATACTCCGGCCCCGGCCTCCAGTGGCCTCTCGCCGAAGGAAGAAGGGGAGCTTGAAGATGGGGAAATCAGTGACGACGATAATAACAGCCAGATACGGAGTCGGAGCAGCAGCAGCAGCAGCGGCGGCGGGCTGTTACCCTATCCGCGGCGAAGGCCTCCTCACTCGGCCCGGGGCGGTGGATCTGGCGGAGGCGGTGGCTCTTCCTCGTCATCGTCCTCTTCTCAGCAGCAGCTGAGGAATTTCTCACGCTCGCGGCACGCGTCTGAGCGGGGCCACCTCAGGGGACCCAGCAGCTACCGACCCAAAGAACCGTTCCGGTCTCATCCGCCTTCTGTACGGATGCCTTCGAGCTCACTGTCCGAAAGCAGTCCCCGGCCGTCTTTCTGGGAGCGGAGCCACCTCGCCTTGGACCGTTTCCGCTTTCGAGGCAGGCCTTACCGGGGTGGGAGTCGCTGGAGTCGGGGGCGAGGAGTGGGTGAGCGAGGAGGCAAGCCGGGGTGCAGACCTCCTCTGGGAGGAGGAGCAGGATCCGGGTTCAGCAGCAGTCAGAGCTGGCGAGAGCCCTCTCCACCTCGGAAGAGCTGTATCCTTAACGTGGCGGTCGGCGCTGGGTGTGTCACTAAAGTTCCCTTTAGCGTCATTACTAGGTCTGTGAGACGAGTGTAACTTTGAATCATCAGAACCGCTTATTTCTCCCTGTGTCAGTATACTTTAAGTTGTTCTTTGGTAATTCCCCATGTGTCACACTATAGCGTTATTCTTAAGACTGCTTCATTGGGTATATTAACGTGCTGTGGATTGGGTTAAGCTTATGAAATCTAAGACAGTTAAGTCTGATTTGTAATAATACCTTAGAAGCCCAAGTTTCATTAGCATTTGTATTTTTGCTGGTACAGAAACTTTGTGTTTTATATGAAGTTGACTTGGATTGTTAGAGAAAAAATATTCATAAACAGTTTAAGTAATATTGTTGCTTTATCATATTGCAGTTTGACGTTGAAAATTGTAAAGTTTTAATCTGCACAGTCCTGCACTATTTTTGTGATTCTGTTTTTATCTTGATTTATTCCGGTTGCTGCCTTTTAAAGTGGGGGGGGGAGGGGTAAAAAAAAAACAACTCTGGTGTCTTTACCAAGTCTGTTTCAGAGCTTTTTGATTCATTTGATCTTTTTGGAACACTTTACCTCCTTTACGTTTCTATCTGTGTTCACTTTTGCACATTGTGTAACTTCGTGCTGACTAAATGAGGGCCAGAGAGAGAAAGATAAACTTATCAGCATTTTTATTTTAATACGTTAGAGTGGAGGAATGTGTATGCGAGGGTGGAGATTACGGGTAAGTTGAGAAAGGAAATAGTAACATTCCAGATTTTTCCTACTTCTAACCTTATTCTCAGTTTTAAACATTACTGAGTTTACTCAGCATTTATACAGAGGAATCAATCATCCGAAGGTTTCCTGTTTTATAATGGGTTTGTAAAACACTATCTTGACTTAATCTGTGATCATTGCAAAAATTGTTTAAAGACTTTCATTACTGGTTGTAATTCACATAGTGTGATGATTTTTAATTTCGTTATTATATATGAAACTTAAAAGTAATGACAGTTATTTGGAAGACAATCAGAATTACTTTTATAGAACACTTAGGTCCAGAATAGGTCTTTCTCAAATGTCATGATGTAAAAGGGGCAAGGAATGTACATTTAGGTGAGAAACAGCAGCTTCTGATGCTAGTTCCCTGAAAAACCTTACTTCTGCAACCAAAAGTTGGGTTAGGAGTATTTCAGGATTGTTTCGGAGAAAATCATGTAGGCGCCAGGCGTGGTGGCTCACGCCTGTAATCCCAACACTTTGAGAGGCCGAGGCGGTGGATCACTTGAGATCAGGAGTTCCAGACCAGCTTGGCCAACATGGTGAAACCTTGTCTCTACTAAAAATAAAAAAGTTAGCCAGGCGTGGTGTTGGGTGCTTGTATTTCCAGCTACCCGGGAGGCTGAGGCAGGAGAACCGATTGAACTCGGGAGGCAGAGTTGTAGTGAGCAGAGATTGCACCACTGCACTCCATCCTGGGCGGTAAAGCGAGACTCCGTTTCAAAAAAAAAAAAAAAAGGAAAATTATATAGATATTTAACTTTTTAAAAGCCAGCAAATGGTTCTTCCAAGAAGGTTAGAAAACCTCTGCCCACGGTGTTTCTTAATCCATGGATTTGTGGTCTATTTTGAATCCAAAAGCCAGAAAGGCTATTTAAGCATATATATGTGTATGGTTTTTATTTATTTATTTATTTATTTTTGAGACAGAGTCTCGCTCTGTCGCCCAGGCTGGAGTGCAGTGGTGTGATCTCGGCTCACTGCAAGCTCCGCCTCCCGGGTTCACGCCATTCGGCCTCAGTCTCCCGAGTAGCTGGGACTACAGGCGCCCGCCACCACGCCCGGCTAATTTTTTATATTTTTAGTAGAGACAGGGTTTCATCATGTTAGCCAGGATGGTCTCGATCTCCTGACTCCGTGATCCGCCCACCTCGGCCTCCCAAAGTGCTGGGATTACAGGCATGAGCCACCGTGCCCAGCCAATGTGGATGGTTTTTAAATTTTTTTAATTAAAAAAAATTTTTATTAAATTTATTTAAAAAAATTTTTTTTTGGGGAGACGAAGTCTTGCTATGTTGCCCAGGCTGATCTTGAACTTGTAGCTTCAAGAGATCCTCCTTCCTTAGACTCCCAAAGTGCTGGGATTTATAGGCGAGAGCCACCAGTTTATATGTGTTTTTTAAAGGTACAAAGATGAAACCTGTAGTTTGTATTAGGGAAACAAATGAAAATAAGTAGTTGCAGTTTAGTATAAAAAGTTGAAACTGAAGTATGTATATAAAAAAGTACTATGGGAGCTCAAAGGTTTTTCTTAAAATTTTTATTCTGTATTAGAAAAGGGGGAGGTGAGTGGGCTTTCTGCTTTTGTCCTCTTTCTGCGTGTTTATTCAATACTATTTTGGGCCTCTACCATAGACCTTTATTAATTGGTAAGCTTGCATGTTTTTATTAGTAAACTGGCATATGATGTTGCAAAAAAAAAAAAGTACCAGAAAATATCCAGTCTGCTTGTGTGACTTTGATTTCCGTAGTAACTTGTCATAAATAAGATATCTTGTTGTTTTTCTTTTCACAGATGCTGCACTTAAAAGGATGCTTGTTTTGATGTCCTGCTCATTGTTTTCCCTATGAAGTATCAGTAATCCATCCTAGAGGTGGTGTTCTTTTTAAGAATTTGAGAAGGAAAACGTAGTTCCCAGCTACTTTTATATAATGTGAGCAAACAAAATATTTGTTACAACACTTCATTCAAATTTATTTAATATCAAGGTTGTACTCAGTTTAATTCATATTTCCACTATGTGATTATAATAATACCTTTTTTATTTTACAAATACTGTATAAAGAAAGAATGCAGGTTACTCTGTGGCATATTTCTGTAATTTAGAAGTAAAGTAGCCTGAGTATAGGGTTTATTTCTATTTTTGCCATAACTCCTTTCACTGTAATAACTAAGATATGCTAGTTGCAACTTTAAAGAAATAGAATAAACTAGATTCAATTGCAGTTCTTATTTTCACCCTTAATTTTTCTTAATGATAGACACTTTGTCAGTACATCTTAGCATGTCTCCCTTGAATGACTACTCTTTTAAACTTTCAAATCTGAGGAGAGCTAACATAATTAGGCTAGTGTCTCTCATCAGTAAAAAGTCATTCCATTTTCAGCTGCAGCTGAAAAGGTTGAATAGCACTTCTTTTTGTTTAAACCAAGGTTCAGTTAGAAATTGTATCTTGACAAGCTTAAAATTAAATCTGGTAAGTGTTGGTTTGATCTTAGGCTTCTGTATAGATAGGGATAGATTTTCTTTAGCCTTGAAGGAGATTAGTCAGTTATAGTTGTAACTCAATTGCTTTTCCTTATTTTTCTATTTAGCATTTTTGTTAGTGTATTTAATCATTTCCCTTTCTTTTCTTTTTTTTTTAATTGCAGTTGTGCCTTTAAATGGCTCCAGTGAAAAGTAAGATGTAAATGCAGATAATTACAGAACTTACATACAAAGA
Organism: Homo sapiens; assembly: GCF_000001405.40. Lineage (NCBI taxonomy): Eukaryota > Metazoa > Chordata > Mammalia > Primates > Hominidae > Homo > Homo sapiens. The sequence continues at coordinate 71,659,499 of NC_000012.12, read as the reverse complement.
GTGTGTAAGAGGGGAAGGGAGAGTGAGAAACTCAGGCTTCACAGAGGTGACACTTGAATTGGGGTTAAGTTGAAGAACAGACAAACTTAGACACAAAGCTATGCAAAAATTGTGATGAACAAGGAAAAAGTAAGTTTGGAAAGGAAAGCACAGGTCAGATTATATTTATTCTCAGGATTTTGGACTTTTTTATTAGGGAAATTTAAACAAGGGGAATGATCTTATATTTGTATTCTAGAAAGATTACTCTGGCAGCAGCAGTATGAAGGATGGCTTGTAGGAGATAAGAGAAATATCTTATCACCAGGGTAAACTCTCCTGTGGTAGGTAAAACTGTGGAGGTGCATTAGAATGCTCAAAATGAGAAAGAGGCTAAGTAGTGCTCCCTGAAGAGCACCATTATTTCACAAGTTAGAGAGAAAAGACTCAATGGAGACTTAAAAGACAAAACACAAATAGGGAAACAAAGGGAGATGCGGAGTTATGGAAGCCAAGAGAGAAGTGGTTTATGGTGTCAGATTCTCAGAGGGGTCAGGTAAAAAAAAATAAAGTTTGAAAACATTGATAGGGAAACTTAGCCACAGCAGTCTCTCTAGATTAATGGGACAGAAACCAGATTCCATTTGGTAAGAAGGGTACAGAGAAACTAGTTTTCTTTCAGGATACTTGGCTTTGAAGAGATCAGAGAACCAGAGATTTACTAGAACAGTTTTGCTGTAGAACTGTTAAGATTTTCAGATGTACTTATTGCTTATTTTTGTTTCTTAGATGATGGTAATTCTCATTTTTAGAACTGGTCATCAGGAGAGTTTAAAAACCTTTTCTGCTGCTTGCCCTGTGAGGTGTTTAAACAGAAGAACCGTATTTGGGGTACTGTATTTTACATCCTAGCCAACTGAAAATAATCTATAGGCTGGGTGCAGTGGCTCACACCTGTAATCCCGGCACTTTGGGAGGTCAAGGTGGGCGGATTACCTGAGGTCAGGATTTCAAGACCAGCCTTGTCAACATGGTGAAACTCCATCTCTACTAAAAATACAAAAATTAGCTGGGCATGGTGGCACGCACCTGTAATCCAAGCTACTCAGGAGGCTGAGACAGGAGAATTGCTTGAGCCTGGGAGACGGAGGTTGCAGTGAGCCGAGATCGCACCACTGCACTCCAGACTGGCTGACAGTGCGAGACTCTGTCTCAAAAAAAAAAAAAAAAAAAAAAAATCTATAAATGATGTATTAAAACCACAGGAGGTACTGTCTTTTCTCTTGCTAATATCTGGCCTGGAAAAATGAGGTATAACAATTCTCGTGTATGAATTGTTTAGAATAAAAATTGTAGTTTGAAATTTTGTAGCTGTTTCTAAGGAAAAAGTTACCTTTTGTGTATCACTGTGTTAGAGAAGAAAGTAAGAACAGTTGCTTCAGATTATTTTCATAACATTTTCCCTTGTCTGTAGGAGAAAAATAGATATATTTTGAGTACTATTTTAAAGTGTTTTTTTTTTTCTTTTTTTTGAGATGAGGTCTCCCTCTGTTGCCCAGGCTGGAGTGCAGTGGTGTGATCTTGGCTCCCTGCAACCTCCGCCTCCTGAGTTCAAGCAATTCTCTTGCCTCAGCGTCTCAAGTACCTGGGACTACAGGCCTGCACCACCACGCCTGGCTAATTTTTTAATTTTTAGTAGAGATGGGGTTTCACTGTGTTGGCCAGGCTGGTCTCAAACTCCTGACCTCAAGTGATCCTCCTGCCTCGGCCTCCCAAAGTGCTGGGATTACAGGCGTGAGCCACCGCGCCTGGCCCCCTGAAGTGTAAACTATCCGCATCTGTGACAAAGCATTCAGTTTCTCCCCTCTTCCTTCAGAAAATAATCTCTAACATACAGCTAATTATGGACTTTCCTGGCACAGAAGGAATGATGCTATAACCTAACTAGGTGGACTGTCTGTGGATACTACTGGTAATTATGACACTAGTGATTTTGTAAGTGGACTGTTTATATGGTACTTACTAAATTCAAATATGGGCACGTAATGAAAGTGGGCATTAGCTGCACATACATTAAATGGAATTTAGTAATTTAAAAATATCGATTCATTTTTCTTGAAAAATTAAAAAGGGAGAAAATTCATCTATAATCTAAGTTTTTTTGTTAAATTTAACTGTGGAAAATTTTTGGAAACTGGTTTCCTTAATATGCTGTTCAGCCAAAAGTTTTGGAAGGTCTCCATCAAGAAAACAAAATTATTCATCAAAAAATGAAAACTGTGTGGAAGAAACTTTTGAAGATTTGCTTTTAAAGTATAAACAAATACAGTTGGAACTAGAATGCATCAATAAGGATGAAAAACTAGCATTGAGTAGCAAAGAAGAGAATGTGCAGGAAGATCCTAAAACATTGAACTTCGAGGACCAAACTAGCACTGATAATGTCAGTATTACAAAGGATTCAAGTAAAGAAGTAGCTCCTGAGGAGAAAACACAAGTCAAAACTTTTCAGGCATTTGAATTAAAACCACTCAGGCAAAAATTGACTTTACCAGGAGATAAGAACCGTTTGAAAAAAGTTAAAGATGGAGCAAAACCACTTTCCCTGAAATCCGACACTACTGATTCTAGTCAAGGTAATGGAATTAAATATTTCAGTTAGTAATGACTCTTCTTCCTCTAAAGTAGTAACTACTTGTTTTGGCAGTGTACTTCATTGAAATGATTGTAATTATCTGTAAATTCTTTTGTACTTTCTATGTAGACATTCATATCATTGAATAATTACTAATTTTGTTTACTTTTAGTCTTTATTTATTTATTTATTTTTTGCCTGACATTCTGGCCTCTATAATAGAATGTTATACATAAGTGATAATAGTGGACACCTTTGTTTCCTAATTTAAAGAAAATGGTTTTGACATTTACCATTAAATATGATGTTAATTTTTTTGTAGGTATCCCTTATCGGGTAAAGGAGGGTTTTACTCCTATTCCTGGTTTGAAATTTTCAGCGTGAATGGATGTTGAAGTTTACAAAATCTGTTTTCTTCATTATTGGGATGAGCATCTAATTTATTTTAATTTGTTAGTGTAATGAATTATATAATTTATTTCTAGTATTAAACCACCCTTGTATGCTTGCGTTTAATACAGTTTATGATATACCATTTTTAAATCATGGATTTGGCTTGTTTTTTCTTTTCCTCTTTATTAAGATATAATTTATATACAGTAAAATTTATCTTTTAACATTATAAATGAATAAGTGTGTAGTTCTTCAGGTTTTGACAAATGTAGACAGTGGGTAACCATCACCAGCTACCATTAAGATACAGAATTCTTTCATCAACCTCAAACAGTTTCTCCAAGTGTCTTTGTAGTTATCCCGTCCCTCAGCCCTTAGTTCACCTGGTAACCACTGATCTGTCCCTATAGTTTTGCCTTTTCCAGAATGTCACACTAATGGAATCATACAGTATATTGCCTTTCATTATAGCTTCTTTCATTGAGCATAATGTGTTTGAAATTCATTCATGTAATTGTATATGTCAGTAGTTCTGTGTATCCCATCATACTGTAGTTCATCCATTTCCCAATTATGTTTGGGTTTTTCCAACTTTCGGCTATTACAAATGAAGGTTTGCTAGTGTTTTGTTTAGAATTTTTTATGTGTTCAGAGCCTGTAATTTCCCCCCCCTCTTTTTCCTTGACAGTTTTTAGTGTAAGGTTATAATACTCAAATTAGTTGGGGCTGTTTTCATCTTTATTCTCTGTAATAGTTTAAGATTGGAAACATTCTGAGATACTTGGTAGATCTTGCTGATAAAAGTGTCTGGGCCTGGGTGGAGTTTTTTTCTGAGAAAGTTTTAATCTAACTTCGTGTTTTCTATTTCTGTTAAGACAGTTTATGTAAACTCTATATTTTTTGTAATGTGTCTATTTCCTGTAAGTTACAGAAGTTATAAAAATTGTTCTTAAGAATCCTTTACTTTTTTATCTGTAGTATTTATAAGTTGTACCTTTTTTTTCCCTGCTCTCTTCTTTAATTTACCCTGAAATAAGTACATAAGTTTTTAAACTCAGTTTTCAGCCTCTCTCCTATTAAGATCATTTTAGGCCATAAAGTTTGACTTTAGTTCTGTCTCAAGTTGGGTTATTTAACTTTTTTCATTCATTCTGAATATTTTCTAATTTTTATTTTTCATTGACTTGTAGGCTGCTTGGAAGTATGTTTCTTCTAAACATGTAGGTTGTCTAGCAGTATTTTTTATTGATATCTAAGTCAATCATACTGTCAGAAAATAAGATTGCTATGATAACCAATCTTTTGAAATACTTGGAGACTTCCTTTATTGTCCAGTATGTAATCAGTTTTTTGTAAGAGTTCTGTGTATGTTTGAAATGAATTTATAGATTACTTGAGCTTTTTGTGTTGTTCACTTTTTTTATTTTTTGATATGCTTGATCAGTTACTAAGAGGAGTTTGTTAAAATTTGCCAGTATGATGATGGATTTGTGATTTTTACTTTTTGCTTTAAATACTTTGAAGGTGGGTAATTGAGTCATTATGTAGTGACTTTATCTCTGATGTTTTTGCCTAAAAGACTATTTTGTCTTATATTAATAGCCACATCATCTTTCTCTTTATATAATTTCCCACTCTTTCAGTCTTTCTGTATCCTCATGTCTCGGATATTACTTGTACATAGTATAGAGCTGGTTTTAATTTATAATTCAGTATGACAATCTTTGTCCTTTAGCTTGAACGTATAGTCTACTCACATTTTTTATGATTATTGACATTTGGTTTTATTTCTTCTTCTTTTTTTTCTTTTTAGGCTCTTATTTTTCTTCACACAATTTTTTTTCATTTGCTAGTTTGGAAGTTGGATACTAAATTTCTGGTCTTATATTCCTACCAGTGTTTAAAGTTAATCAGGAACCTTACTCTTTCCCCGAAATACAAAGAATGATATTTGCTTAGCTTTGCCTATATATTTAGCACTTTCTTGGCTCACTCTTTGTATCATGTCTGGAATTATATATGTATAAATATATTCTCTGTGTGTGTGTGTTTTAGATAAGATCTCACTGTGTTGCCCAGGCTAGAGTGCAGGAGTATGATCATGACTCAGTGCAGCCTTGACCTCCTGGGCTCAGGTGATCCTCCCACCTCAGCCTTCTGAGTTGCTGGGACCACAGGCATGTACTACCATGCCCGGCTATGTTTTAAAAATTTCTGTAGAGACGGGGTCTCAGTATGTTGTCTAGGCTGGTCTCAAACTCCTGGGCTCAAATGATCCTCTTGCCTTAGCCTCCTAAAATGCTGGGATTACAGGTGTGAGCCACCATGCTCTGTGCTTAAATACATTCTTTAGACTTTTTTTTTAAAAATGTGTTTTTGCTGGGTGGAAAACGATTTCCGTTTACTCTTTTTAAAAGATATTTTCCCTGGGTTTAGAATTCTAGGTTGTTTAATTATATGCTTTTTGTTTGTTTGTTTTTGAGACAAAGTCTTTCCCTGTCATCCAGGCTGGAGTGCAGTGGCACTATCTTGGCTCATTGCAACCTCCGCCTCCTGGGTTCAAGTGATTCTCATGCCTCAGCTTCCTGAGTAGCTGGGACTATGGTACATGCCATTGCGCCCGGCTAATTTTTGTATTTAGTGGAGCTGGGGTTTCGCCATGTTGGCCAGTCTGGTCTCAAACTCCTGGCCTGAAGTGATCCGCCTGCCTTGGCCTCCCAAAGTGCTGGGATTACAGGCATGAGCCACCACACCCAGCCCCTAATTATATTCTTACTGACAATATTTTCTGGCTTCCATTGTTGATTTTCAAAACTCATCTATCAGTCTTAATGGTTTCCAATTTGAAGATAATCTTTTTTCTTTGGTTGTTTTAAAGATCCTTTTTGTCTTTGATATTCTGTAGTTGAACTGTGTGATGTGCTGATTGTAGATTTCTTTTTATGTATCCAGCTTGGAATTTGTTGTTTCTTGAATCTGGATTGGATCTTGCAGTGGTTCTGAAAAAATGATCATTATCTCTTAGAATATTATCCCATTCTCTCTCTTTTTTGGAACTCTGTATAGATGTATGTTATGTTAAGTCATCATACTTTATCTTTCATGTCTCTTCATTTCTCTAAGTTTCTGTCACTTTGTAATTGACAAATTCTGGAAAATTTCCTCTGATACATCTTTCGTTTTACTGATTCTCTCTTCTGCTGTATTCGATTTGCCTTAAGCCCACTTACTGAGTTTTACATTTCAATTACAGTTTTTGTTTTACTATTTCATTTTTGTTTTGTTTTCAAATCACTTTGATCATTCTTTCCACTTTTCTTCTCCCTGCTTATATTTTCAGCTTTATCTTTGTTTCTTTAAACAAATTAACCATAGGTCTGTTTTGTTTTATCTCCTATCCCTGCTAATTTTCAGTATCTCAGGTCTTTGGGGGTTTGATTTCTGATGTTTGTTTTGTTATTACTCATTTTTGGTACTTTCTTTTCTTGAACATTTAGTGATTTTGTTTTGTTGTAATATGAGATGGTCGTTGTTTTTTTTTGAATTTTAGTGGTGGGAAGTTTTTGAGACCTGGGACAAAGATGCATTCCCCAGAGAGAATTTGCTAAAGACTTCAGCCTTGGAATCAGTTCAACCCTCACTGGCTGTCCATATGGTGTGAATTTGGTTGCAGACCTAAGTGATGATTATTTTGGGTTGCACATTCTCAGGGAGATGCCTTTCTTTCCCCTCTTCAATTTAGTACTATGATTCTACACAAGCAGTTTTGAGAAGTATAACACAGAGGGATAGAAAAGACACAAATCTCTATCATGGAGTATAATATGAGTTATGTGTGAAAGCCTGGAGTAACACGGGAAGGATTAAATATCCTCACCTGGATTTAGAAAGGTTTCATAGAGATGTAAATGTTTGATATACATCTGGAAAGATGAATCTTTTCCACTGGGGAAGTCAGAAGGAATCAAATGAGTAGACAGGCACAGAGGGCTTTTTAAGGGCATTGAGATTAATCAAATATGTGTGCAGTGTGAGAGATAACGGTATTTTTTTGGTGAGTGGTTGGACATAAAATTATAAAAGGACAGGTTAGTGTTGGATTGGGAAGGCCTTTAATATTTTGCTAAAGAATTTGAATTTTGTCTTTTAAACGTTGGGTGGGCTATTAAATATTTTTAAGCAAGAAAATGATGTGATCAGATGTGTGTTTTGGAAAAATAACTGGCATCAGTATGGAAGAGTGATTGGAGGAAAATCAAAGGAACTAAAATGTCATCTGAATCAGTAAATTATATATATAAATGTTTCTACATGTATATTTCCCCACCAATCCTCAGCAAGACTCTACTGTCAAACTTATGTTATTGGTGAGCCTTTTTTCCATATCTCTTGACAACTCTTCTATACCTTCATAATTTTTGCAGGCCTTTTACTCAACCTTTATTATTGTCCGTATACAAGCTTGCTTCTTATTGGAGGTGATCACACTCAATTCCAGCTTTTCACTTTCTGACCATAAACTTGTTTGTAATCCATATCAGTTTTCACTTCAGTTCTTTCACCCTGAGGGTAACGACTGTCTTGTTCATGGCCATTTTGTTTTAACTTGTTCTCCTGGCTCTAACTTCTGCCTTCTCTGGGACCTTGCTTTATTTATTCTGCTTTATCTTGAACCATTGTCTCCTTAGGGTGTTCTTAATATATTTGACTTTTCCATCCAAAAATGGAAATCCTCTTCCACCTCATCCTACATTCTCTCTTAAATTATGTCAAGTATTCTTCCTCTTTTCAATAAGACTTCTGAGAGGTCTAGTCGGTACCAGCTTTTGACTTTACTTCTCATTGCCTTATTAGCCCAATACAGTTTGCTTTTCTACCCCCATCACAATACTGAAACTACTCATGGTAGTTTTCTGTGACCTAATTGCAAATTTTAGTGGATGTTTTTTATTTCATTCTTCCATTTATTCAAAAATTAGTTGAGCACTTTATTCCAGGCTCTTGGAAATAAATTGGTGAACAAAATAGTCACTTATGTTTTCATGGGCTTACATTTTAGAAGGCAAAACAGTAAACATGATGTGTAAATTAACTGTTATGAAAGAGAAAAAGTATAGCAGGGTAGGTAGGAAAGGGTTATTGAGGATACAGGTTGCAGCACTAATAGGGTGGTCAGCATGGTGTCTATTTGAAGGTGAGATTTAAAGAAAGACTTTGAAGACAGTAAAGGAATAGCCAAATGGATATCTGGTGGAAGAGGCTCCTATGCAAAAGGAATAACTAGAGCAGTGATTTTCAAAGTGTGGTTCCTGGGGACTGCGTTATCTGGGAACTTGACAGAACACAAATTCTCAGTCTCTACCTTAGATCTATTGAACTGGGAGCTCTGCAAATGGGGCCTAGCAATCTGTATTTAACCAGCCCTTCTGTTGATTCTGCTACATGCTGAAGTTTGGGCATCGCTGAACTAGAGAAATGACCATAATACAGAAAGATGCCTGACATGTTTGGGGAATAACAAGGAGTCCTGTGCTAATACAGGAGAGTGAGGGGAATGAATAATGGGAGAGAAGGGATTAGAGATGGCAGGAGGGGGCAGATCTTATAGACAGAGCCTTGTAAGAACTTTGTTTTTTTATTCCTAATGAAATGGGGAGCTCTTACAGGGTTTTGAGCAAAGGACTGACATAATCTGTTTTATATTTTTAAGGCATCACTCTGGCTGCATTGCTGAGAATATTCTATTGGGGGTAGACATCTCTACTATATTCAGTGATATGTTTCTTCCCTTGAAATTTTGGGATTTCTGCAATGGATTTTAAAAATAACTTTCTGATTTTTGTTTTCTGTCTTTTGTTTGTTTTAAATAATTACTTTTCCTGTGTAATTTCTTAATTCGTCATGTCCTCAGTGTCCCATTTTCTAGGGATATTCTCATTATTATGGTTTTAACTACTACCTGTGTGCTGGTGACTTTGGCTCACATTAGACTTTCAGTTGGTAATATTTTAAATACTGTGTGACAAGAACAGTGTTCATTTTGGAGGTTTTGAGTAAAACTTGAGATAATTTTATTGTACAGACCTATGACAGTGGTAGAACAATGTCTAGCTACCCATTTGATCAGTTTAAACCTGCATTTATAATCTTTGTGTAAAGTTATATTTATTGTCTGAAATTTGTATTTATTGAATTTATTGTATTTATTAATTTTTTTTTGAGACGGACTCGCTCTGTTGCCCAGGCTGGAGTGCAGTGGTGTGATCTCAGCTCACTGCAAGCTCCACCTCCCAGGTTCACACCATTCTCCTGACTCTCACTGTGTTGCCCAGGCTGGAGTGCAGTGGCGTGATCTCGGCTCACGGCAGGCTCCACCTCCCAGGTTCACACCATTATTCTGCCTTGGCCTCCCGAGTAGCTGGGACTATAGGTGCCTGCCACCACGCCTGGCTAATTTTTTGTATTTTTGGTAGAGACAGGGTTTCACCATGTTAGCCAGGATGGTCTCGATCTCCTGACCTCGTGATCCACCCGCCTTGGCCTCCCAAAGTGCTGGGATTACAGGCATGAGCCACCACACCCAGCCTATTGTATTTATTTTTAAGGTAGCAATGTAGTCATAAGGTACCTGCTATGTTAATAGATACTTGCCTCTATGCTACGTTAAAGGGAGGTGCTGCCATTTTTTATAGACAAGTGAGATCCTAATCAACCAGTAGATTTCTCATGACTTAATGAAACTCATAAGTTTCTCATGTAGGAGAATAATTTAGTGTTTAATGTTTCCCTGTTTATTTTTGTATAATAGTTATTACTATTCTGTTGTTTTTAAAAGCGTGATCATTTTTTCTACAGTGGGACATATGCATTTCCCAAAATTACCACACTGCAAAATTATGCAATAAAAACAATAGGGTGTGTGGAGAAAATGGGGTTAGAGGAACAACACTCAAAAACTTTGTCCGTGGCATATAAAAAAAAGATAGGAATAAATGAAAAATGATAGCACAGCTTTGCATGTGAAATGGAGAAAAAAAGTGTGAAATATTAAAGTAAACATGTCAGCATTCCATAAAATAGACCTGAAGTACACCTGTGGAAGTGGAATATTTGCTACTTATGAGTTATTATGAAGTAAAACAAGGAGTGTTACCTGAAATCAGACAGTAAATTGTAATACCAGATGTGGATGGCTGTGGCTTATAACACACGCAATGAACTTGGGTATTTGATAGATGTTTGAAGTATATGTTGTTTGTGTATTCCTACATGGCTCAGATCACTTGGGTGCAGTTTTCTGCATTCTTAGTGTTTCTCTGAGACAAATCACACATAAGTAAATATAAATTTGTGTTATGCTCAAATTCTTTTCTTTTCTTTTCTTTTTTTTTTTTTTTTTTTGAGACAAGAGTCTTGCTCTGTTACCCAGGATGGAGTACAGTGGTACAATCTCAGCTCACTGCAACCTCCACCTCCCGGGTCCAAGCGATTCTCCTGCCTCAGCCTTCCGAGTAGCTGGGACTACAGGCGTGCACCACCATGCCTGGCTAATTTTTTGTATTTTCAGTAGAGACAGAGTTTTGCCATGTTGCCCAGGCTGGTCTTGAACTCCTGACCTCAGGTGATCCACCCGCCTCGGCCTCCCAAAGCACTGGGATTGCAGGCATAAGCCACTGTGCCTGGCTGCTCGAATTATTTTCTAATGTATCAGTCATGTTGCAACAAATTCACATTTATAGACTAAGCCTTTCAACAGAACTCATTTGTCTTGAAATTTGGTCATTGCCTTCTATTTACATTGATTTAGATGCTAGATTAGTCATTTATTTATTGAATAAGTCACGTATTCTTTGGTTCACTTGAGCAGTCAAATTAGGATGTTTGGAACATTGACAGGTGTGGTGTTATGGTAAAAACACCAGACTTAAAATTAAGATCTAGTTTAAATCCTAGCTTTGCAATTTCAGTTTTGTCATCTTAAGGAAAGATTTCTGAGTTTTTAACATAATCTGTTTTAGCTACAAAAGTATCTCAACAGGATTGTAGATATTCTGTAACTTTATCATGTGATGTTTAAAGCTGTTGTAGATTAGGTAATATATAAATGTAAGATTTTGTACATTATTTCATCAGTCATCTGGGCCCAAGGCTAGATATCTGGAAAAAATGTATGGATGGACTTAATTTTATTGATACTTAAGCTGCCTCTACTGATGCTTTTCTAGGTAAATGACCAATTCTCTAATGCACAAATCCAATACAGTCTGTAAACATTGCATTCATTCCAATTTAGAGGACTGGATTAATTTAGTCATCATTATATTCTATCAGTGTGGATAATCCACTTGGTAATTAAGTGTTGCTGCTTGTTTCTATGCTTTATAAATTCTCTTCTCATTTGAAGTGACTATTTCTAGTTCAGAAGTCATTTTATTAAAAGTGTGGCTTTATTTTAATATTTTGAATCATTTTGCCTTATAACTTTGAGGAATGAGGCTGATAAGAGTTTGTTCAGATTTTCATTCTCTTTAATGGTATTTCCTTTTGGTTGAGAGATTGAGAAAATGAGACCCTTTAATGATCTCTTTTAAAATAATTACCAGATATTATATAGGATTATTTTATTTTAGATTGTGGCTATCTTTTGGATTATTCAAAAGATATTATTTTATTTTAAAGGATTACAAGATAAAGAACAAAATTTAACAAGAAGAATTAGTACCTCAGATATTCTGTCTGAAAAGGTAAGATACTGCTTTGTGAGACTATCATCTCTGTAAGACCCATTTTTGCATTGCTTTATTTTGTTCTTTTGTAAGGGAAGTCTATCTTACTTTCACTTATTTTCTTTCATCATTCCTATAACTCCATTTGGACATAAGCCTTAAAGAAATTCTGGATCGACATCTTGCAGTCTCTTTTCCCTGGGTTCTGCAAATTATGTTTAATTAAAGTGTTATATATATTCATACGGGATCTTTTTTTTAATCATTTGTTTTTTGAAACCTTTAATTTTGATCCAGATATTTTCTCCATTTTTTGTGTGTTATCCTGTGTGGGTAAGCTTTTGGAGTAAGGTAGACCTTCACCTGGTGTCAAATTCTACCTCCACTTCTTGTTAACTGAGTGACTTTGTATAAACTATTTAGCCTTTGCTTGCTTCTATATTCTTTTCTACAAACTGAACTTAATGTCTTCTGTTATCTGGGTTGTTGTGAGGTTTCAGTAGAATGAAACACAGAAGCCTCAAGCACTGTGTTTGACGTATAACAGGCACTCAATAACCCAAGCCTTTTCAATTTGTTGAATTAGAGATCTGAAATATCTGTAGTTTTTTTCTTTTGAGATTTCAGTTTGTTTTTTTGCATAAATTGAAATGATTTAAATAGTCTAGGAGCTTTAGGAAAAAGATGGCCCTGAATTTAGAAATGATAATATAACGTACACATACACATTTTTTAATACCCTCACAATAACCCTATGAATCAAGTTGACATTATATACATTTTGTAGATGAAGTAAGAGTCATTTGAGTAGATTAAGTGACTTGCCTAAAGTTACATAGGAATTAAGTGTCAGAGCAAGTAATTTAATGAGCTTGTCTGACTAGTGGGAACTAACGAGCTTAGCTCTGTGCTCTTGCTGTTCAAGTAGCTACCTCACGTAGCATATAGGTGGGTGACAGAATCAGTGGTTTCTTTCATTCCAAAGAGAGTAGTTGCAAAAAGTAATCAAAAGTGTCACTGGGCGTGGTGGCTTATGCCTGTAATCCCAGCACTCTGGAAGGCTGAGGTAGTTTGATCACTTTAGCTCAGGAGTTTGAGACCAGCCTGGGCAACATAGTGAGATCCAAAGTTGAAAAAAATTAAATAATTTAAAACAAGAAAACAAAAAGACTTTGTCTCAATGGAACAGTGAGGATAGCTTTATTTTAGTTAAACTCTGTACATGAGTACTGTTTAATAGAATTTTCTACAATAATGGAAATGTTTTATAGCTGAATTCTCCAATATGGTAGCTGTTAGCTACATGTGGCTATGAAGAACTTGAAAAGTGATTAGTGTGGCTTAGGTACAAATTTTTAAATTCAGTTTTGGTTGATTTAAATTCAGATAGCCACATGTGGCTCATTGCTACCATATTGAACAGCACAGCTCTAGAATTTCAGTACTAGGTAATAGAATTTGATACGTTTAAGTGACGTAGAATTTAAAAAAGAACCATAATAATTTTAAAATTATTGCTTACATGTACTTACCAACAGTGGAAAAGGTAACTGTCTTGGTTTGGTTAAACTGAAGTACTGAAGTGTATGACAGTAGTTTAGGGCTTATAGTAGTTCATATTCAGGTGAAATCATTAGTTAGTATCCACTGTTTTCTTTATGTTTAACAATAGAAAGAATTTAATTGGATTTTAGGAGAAAATATAATTACAATTTACCTATAAGAAAAAGTTATTAGATAAGTGGGCCTTAATCTTTTGGAATCTTTTTTGACTCTTCCTTTCCCTTCCATGCACATACATAAAGAAAAAAGAGGGTTTGTGTTTAACTTCAGGGGTGGGGAAGCCAAAGCTATCCTCCCACCCCTTATTAAAGTCCATGGACTCTAATTAAAAACCTCTAGGGAGCCTGACATTTTTCAGTTCTATTTTTGCTATAATGGAGAGAACAGATTAATTTTTTAAACTATTTCGAAAGTGAAATGCAAAAGTTATTTCAATTGGAAAAAAGTTCTCAGACATCTGCTTTTAACATTATTGTCCTGTTTTAGCTTTCCTGAAGAAAAGTCTTGTCTGTTCAAAATATATAAAATATTCAGATAAATATCTGTAGCCTTAGAACACATAACAGTCAGCTGTAAGCAAATCTCTATAGATTTTTCCCTTCAATAGTAATTTAAAGAATTAAAAAATATACACATAAAAGAAAATTTGTAAGTTTGAATCTTGACATTCAGTGTGTCTGTTGTTCTCTATTACTGGTGAGGCCAGCAAATCACATGATCAGGGAACCACTTCCTTCTTCTTTCCTTACCTCTCCTGGGTCTTGATTTCTTCATTGCATTTGCTGCCATCAGACTTTTACTCTTTCCGGTTTGGGAAGCCCTTTTAAATGTTAGCTACTAACTCTTTTCTTTTTTGCATTATCGTGTTCTATCAGTTGTACCGCCTTACCAACCCTACATTACATATATACACATACCTTCTGCAGACTCATCTTCTATTCGTATTTTAGGAATTACATTAGAGTCTCAGGCTGTGGGAAGTAAATTAGTTTACTTATTTTATCTGTATTTGCCTTGTCATATTTGCCTTCACACTTCAAATTTTTATCATAAAGGATTTGACTTGATGAAATGTGTAAGCTAAATAATAGAATTAAAAAATTTTAGCTCTTTCTTTTTGCTTTAAAGAAACTTGGTGAAGATGAAGAGGAACTATCTGAATTACAGCTTCGCCTTTTGGCTCTTCAGTCAGCCAGTAAAAAATGGCAACAAAAAGAACAGCAGGTGATGAAAGAAAGCAAAGAAAAGTTGACTAAGACGAAAACTGTACAGCAAAAAGTTAAAACAAGTACAAAAACACATTCGGCCAAAAAAGTTAGCACTACAGGTGATCATTTTTATTAAATTCTTGTGTTTTTGTTTTGTTTTCTTTTCTTTTGTTTTTTGAGACAGAGTTTTGCTCTTGTCGCCCAGGCTGGAGTACAGTGGCATGATCTTTGCTTACTGCAACCTCCACCTCCCAGGTTCAGGCGATTCTCCTGCCTCAGCCTCCCAAGTAGCTGGGATTACAGGCGCCCACCACCACGCCTGGCTAATTTTTTGTATTTTTAGTAGAGACGGGGTTTGGCGGTGTTGGGCTAACTGGTCTCAAACTCCTGACGTCAGGTGATCCACTCGCCTCAGCCTCCCAAAGTGCTGGGATTACAGGCGTGAGCCACTGCCTGTTAAATTCTTTTAGTTGAATTTATGTGTAAGTATAGTTTTGAGATTTTAATTCAGAGTTTTGAGTTTGGGGAATTACAGGGCCCTAAAATGGAAGACAATCTTATATAAACAACTTAGGAGCATCATCACTGATTAATCAATAATGAAAATATTTTTTAAGACTCTTATTTTTCTTTTATCTCCTAACAGATGCTAATGTTTATGTGTTTTTTATTTAAAGCTAAACAAGCATTGAGGAAGCAGCAAACAAAGGCATGGAAGAAACTACAACAACAAAAAGAGCAGGAAAGACAGAAAGAAGAGGATCAGCGGAAACAAGCTGAAGAAGAAGAGAGAAGGAAAAGAGAGGAAGAAATCAGAAAAATTCGAGATCTCTCAAATCAGGAAGAACAGTACAATCGATTCATGAAATTGGTTGGTGGCAAGAGGAGATCAAGAAGTAAAGTAAGAAATGCAAAAATATAAAATCAAAACGTTACTCTAAGTTTCCTTAAAGTCATATTTCATAGATTCTGTCAAATAAGGAAGTTTATTTTATAAATAACTCTTGGAAAAAAGGAAGGTAGGTTATAATTGGGAAAGCATCTTTTATAGTTGTAGGTATTGGAAGAAGAAATGAAGGCTAAAATTATTATTAGCAGAGACTGCTTTTAGGTTTTTTACGATTTTCTGTTTAGATGAAAGTAGGATTACTAAATTGTGGTGAAAACTTATTCTGAAAATGGCTGTTAAGTCTTAAGTACAGGGGTAGAATTTCATTAGTTTTTCATTGTTTAGTAATGTAGATTGAGAAGTGTGTCATGACTAGTATGGACTACCTTAATAAATGTTAAATCATGATATAGTAATAACCTTAGTGCATGTGGCTATTTTGTATTTAGTGGTCAAACATTTGTTGAACATTTACTATGTATATAAATATACTTGTCGTCTTGTCTTTTTCTCTCTCCCTCCCTTCTTTTACCCTCTCCACCCAAAAAGAAGAAAAAAGCCCAAAAAGAGTATACTTGAGAATGTATTAATGAAGAGTAGAGGGATATTAAAGAGTAAATTCGTTAATTGGAGTTAGGTTTGCTTAAGCAAGGAATATTGTAAATATTTATACTTTGAAATTTTTTTTTTTTTTGAGATGGAGTCTTACTCTTGTTGCCCAGGCTGGAGTGCAATGGCATGTTTCGGCTCACTGCAACCTCCACCTCCCAGGTTCAAACAATTCTCCTGCCCCAGTCTCCCGAGTAGCTGGGATTACAGGCACCCACCACCATGCCTGGCTAATTTTTTTGTATTTTTAGTAGAGACGGGGTTTCACCATGTTGGCCAGGCTGGTCTTGAACTCCCGACCGCATGAGCCACCGCGCCAGGCCAATAGAATCTTTTTCTAGAGATAAATATGGTATTATTTGCACATTATTCTTTACCTCCTTCTCGAGAGGTTTTGCGAGTTTTTAGTTTATTATAAACTGTCTCTGAGTGAAACATAGTAAGAAGTAGACAAGAAAACAACATACAATAGATAAACACATTTACCCAGAATTTATAGCTTTCAGGTATCATTAATTTATTTATAATTAAAATGTTTTTGAATTTTTGGGGAAATATTCTGTATGTAGTCGTGATGACATAAAACTTGTTTTTGTATTCCTCTAGTTTCTTAATCATACAGAAGTCATAAGTGTACAAGAGTTTGGTGTCATTTTATACAGGAAGAGCTAATTATTTAGTGGCTCAGCTAACAATGGGGGATTTCGTCTGTATAGCTCGTACTTTGGAAATTCCATTTTCTATCTGATTATACAGTTATAAAATGTCAACCAGTGTACCTATCATTTGAATTGAATTTCCCAAAGATGTGATAGGCACATCTAACTGAATCACCATGATTTTTGATACTCTTCCATAGAAGATAACTATCAGTTCTTTTGTGATTTGTAACCCAAGACAGAAAATGCTTTGAAACTAAAAAAGTGTTGTATACTTAGTCTTCAGATCCTGACCTGAGGCGATCCTTAGATAAGCAACCTACTGATAGTGGAGGAGGCATTTATCAGTATGATAACTATGAAGAAGTTGCTATGGATACAGATAGTGAAACCAGTTCTCCAGGTATGAGCCAAAACTTGAAACCTTTGTGTATTTACATGTATTAAATAGAGAATAGTCATTATGGTACTCAAAACCTTTAAAGAAATGTGTAATGAAAGTGAGATTTGCTGATGAACTGTATGGCGATAGACATTATTTGTTGTTGTAAATACTTAGAGAGCAAACCTCAAATAAGTAATATTAACCTTTATTTCCGAGTGTTTCTAGATAGCCTTTAAATTAAAAAACAAATAAATAAGACATTGTTTAAACTCTGTTAACTGTTTGCTCTAGAAAGTGAAGATTGGGCCGGGTGCAGTGGCTCACACCTGTAATCCCAGTACTTTGGGATGCTGAGGTGGGCAGATTGCTTGAGGCCGGGAGTTGGAGACCAGCCTGGCTGACATGGCGAAACCCTGTCTCTACTAAAAATACAAAAATTCGCTGGGTGTGGTGGCATGTGCCTTTAATCCCAGCTTCTTGGGAGGCTAAGGCATGAGAATTTCTTGAACCTGGAAGGTGGAGGTTGCAGTGAGCTGACGTCGTACCACTGCACTCCCGCCTGAGTGACAGAGCAAGATTCTGTCTCAAAAAATAAAAAGTGAAGAATGGGAAAGATGAGAACATTACTCTTTAAAAAAACAAACTCTTGATCTTTATATCCAAGATACTTTCTGCTTTAGTCAAAGAACAAAATTCCTTTTTTGCTATTTGGCTTCCTGTCTCTTTCTAGTACGATAATTTGTAGAAATTTTGAGACAGAAAGTGATAGTACTAGTGGCATCTCAGGAAAGGCTGGTTAGAACTGGTCAGGGCTGTAACTCTCCTTTAGGTTGCATAGTCTAGAATCTGACTTATCTTTGAGGGCCAGAGACTTGATTTTGTTGATGTTCAGGGGTGATTGGCTGTGAGAGACCTATTCCTTCACAAATAATTTAAAACACTTAAGACTGAGGCAGATAACAGAACGCAGTTGGCATTCCAGGAACTGGAGAATTTGGAAGAACACATGATCAGTGTATTTCTCCCTATAGTCACATAGTGAGACCAAATCAAAACTGGAATCCTACTTTGGTGTATCTAGACTAGAGACAAAACAAAATATGTATTATTTGGCTAGTGTTTACCAAAATGCTCATTTTTCAGGTTGTTACTTTAAGCTGGTGTTTGATAGTCTTATATTATGTTTTGATAACACAATTTAACTTGCTTTGGTCAATCTTTAATTTTCTTATTTTCAGATTCTTGGAGATGATTCATTATAATTCCCAAGTATTGACAATATTATTAATACTTTATTTCTATAAAATAACTTTATGATCTATGCTTTTTAAATGATTTTGTGAAACATATAGAGAACATACTCTCTAAGCGGCTTTGTCAAATTTTAATTTTTTGCCACGTTAACTGCGGATATTTATATATATGTATTTTTTTCCATTCAAGATCAATTTTTTTCTCAAATTTTGCCAACACAGACATATTATATTTGAAGAAATGTGCATTAAAAACATCTTTTAATTCACTTTATCTTGTATTAAAAAAGAATGTTTTCCATATAGAGTTTTTCGCCGGGCGGGGGAAAAAAAAAACCAAGAGAATTCAAATACGGTAAAAAACTAGTTTAGGATCTGAGGTTTCAGGCAGTTCAGAAATTGCCAGAAGGTTATTTATTTTTTTTCACTAGGATACCACAGTGGCAGAACAACTTAAAAATCAGAATACTAAAATGATGGGGTGGTCCCGGCAGCTGCCCCTGGCCAGCTGGAGCACACAGTGCCACCAAGGTAGAGAGGCCAGAGGCAGTGGGCATCC
The DNA here is from genome assembly GCF_000001405.40 of Homo sapiens. Taxonomy (NCBI): domain Eukaryota; kingdom Metazoa; phylum Chordata; class Mammalia; order Primates; family Hominidae; genus Homo; species Homo sapiens. Next base: position 71,640,641 of record NC_000012.12, on the reverse strand, counting down.
CAGTGCCAGCCTGCCCGTTCCCTGTAATGAAAGCAGAGCAGGAACTGCAGTTGCATGGCCTTGGGGGTGGGTGGACTTGTGGAAAGCCAAGCTCTGAGGCTGCAAATACCTTGAGCACCACTGGTGGTCCCAGAGCAGGTTGAGCCTGTATCTGCACCTCTGTTCCAACCAGCCTTCTGGCACAGGGCAAGGCCCACATCTTGGCCTCTGCATCTTGATCTGGGCTGGGGCCAGTCCACCTGGTCTTTCTGGCCAGTGCTCACACTGTAAGCCAGTCACAAGTTCTGTCAGCTTCTTTCCTGTGTTAAAAAACAAGAATGGCTGGGCACGGTGACTCACACCTGTAATCCCAGAACTTTTGGGAGGCCGAGGCGGGAGGATCACCTGAGGTCAGCAGTTCAAAACCAGCCTGGCCAACATGGTGAAACCTCGCCTCTACTAAAAATACAAAAATTAGCCAGTAGTGGTGGCTCACCCCTGCAGTCCCAGCTACTCAGGAGCCTGAGGCAGGAGAATCGCTTGAACCTGGGAGGTGGAGGTTGTAGTGAGCTGAGATGGTGCCACTGCACTCTAGCCTGGGCACTGAGCGACACTCTGTCTCAAAAATAAATACATAAATAACAAGAAAGCTTGACACAGAATCAAGAGCACAATAAAACTGCACTCTAGCCTGGGCACTGAGTGAGACTCTGTCTCAAAAATAAATAACAAGAAAGCTTGACACAGAATCAAGAGCATAGTAAAAGTGGCTGCTGTTAATACTATTAACTGAATCAAACACCAGCAAACACTTGCCTAGTTCTTTGTCCTCCTGGATGATCCTGACATGGTGGGTAGCATGAACCAGCACATAATGGACTTCATCTTTCCTACCACTAGTTTCTAAAATTCATGAATGAAGGCTACTCTTGCTGAGGGCACCCTCTACCTTCCCACTGTCCTTTCAGACCCCCTAGTGGCTGACCCAACACAAAGGTCAGAAAGTCCTCAGAAGCCTCTCCTGGCACCTGGCAGTGAGTCAGGGCTGGTTAAATCTGGATGAGGATAGTGCAGCCTGGAGGGCTTTCCTCGGAGATCACTGCACTCACTAGGTCCACCCTCTCTCCCAGATACTAGGAAGGGAAAACATGCCAAGTCCATAAAACAATAGCACCATCAAGTGTCTGACTATTAAACATTCAAATGTTCATGGGGCAGAACACTGAGCATAGACATAGCCTCTCTTCTCTCTGCCACCTAATAACACAAATGTGACACAGCAGCCACATCTGCAGCGCTATGTAAAATGTTCCAAAGATTAGTGTATATTCAGATTATCTCATTTGGGACTCAAGTCAACCCCATATAAGGCATGTGGATAATAATGTATTGACTTGTGAGACAACTGGGATAAAGAAGAAATGTTAGATTTTCTCTGATTATATAGTTAGTGGGTAGGGTAGTAAGAGTAGTCTTTGAAACTGCTGTATTTCAGTGAGCCTAACAAGTCATTGAAGATAAAATACACAATTATTTTTATCTGCTACCAAGGAAGAAAAATGCTGAGATGCATCAATTGTAATTATTTCAAAATTAAAATGTGAAAAAATGTGCACCTTATTGACTAAATACACTAAGTAATTCTTCTCATTCCTAGTTTTATTTACTTTCAACACAGCTTATATGGTCCATGTCCTCAACTTTCTTTTGCTCCACAAGAAGGGAATAATGAAGTCACCACATCATTGTTTTCCTTTGGCTAGGGCACTTTGGCAGAATTTAAGGGAATTTTTTGTTTCATTATTTCTTAAAAAATATGCTTGTGTTTTTTTTTGTTTGTTTTTTTAAAGTATGTTTCTGTCTTTTCCTGCTTTATTCCCTGTTCTCATCATTAGGTTAAAAGTGGAACAAAGTGAGAGTTTTGAGGGACTAATTATTAGTTTAAAGTGAATGGCTGACTTTATGATGATATGACAATTTTAAATGGCTGGAGGTGGACTCATGAGGGGTTTAAAGATTTTATCAGAGGTTGATAAAATCTAATTTGCACTCCACCTAGATGTATTTCTTCAAACATAACATAAACTTAATATATTCCTGATGAAGTATTTCTGTTATTAAACTCTTAACAAAAAATTTTTTTACAGCTCCTTCACCAGTGCAACCGCCATTTTTCTCTGAATGTTCATTGGGGTATTTTTCTCCAGCACCATCTCTTTCTTTGCCTCCACCACCTCAGGTTTCTGTAAGTCAGAATTGATTTCTAAGAAAATTATTTTGTCTTGTCTTTTCTAATTTGTTTTTAAAAACGAATGGTTAGGTTTGAAGAGGGCTTAAAAAATCAGAATTGCTTACCAAGAATTAATAGCAATGAAATACGTAGAATAAACAGTTGATTATACCAGCAAGCTATCCATTTGGTAGATTTTTTTCATAGCTAATTTTTAATTTCATGTTGACTTTTCGGTACCTATCATGTTTCCTTCTTCACTTTACTCTCAGATAGTAGCTACTCAGAAAATTTATTCAAAAACAGAAGTTATCTACTGTTTTGGACTGTCTCTTTTTTAGGGAATTGGAATTTACATGCATTAGGATGCTTCTAAAAATTAATACTCTCCTTTCTCCTCTTTTCATAAAAATGGTTATTTTTAACTTGAAAATCCAGCAAAAGAAAAGCATTTTCTATGAAGTTAATTTCTTTTCCCCCCCATCTCCAGTCCTCCCACTAAAAATAAAACAAAAAAATAAAAACAATAAAAGGAAAAGGAAAAAAAGGAAGTAGAGGAATCACACATTAAAAGTTTTGACATTATTTTTAGATTGAGAGGACCTAGAGATCAAATTGAGTATCTCTCAGTAGGTGTAAGAGGGAACTTTTCCGTTTCAGGAAAGACGTCTAGTGTCTTTCTAGAACATATATGGTGAGGGGAATATTAGAGCCGATAGTGAGAGAGAAAACAGCACTTTCTTCGTTGTAATGTTTTCTTTTTGGGAATGAATAAATGAACTAAATGCCAAGGGAAATAGTGGAAGATCTTTGATGCAAATACATATCCAAATTTAGGGATTTGTGTAAAATTAGTTTCCTTTATAGATATTCTTTAAGAAGCCATTTTAAGAGAGTAGTGGTGATTCTTCTTGATACTTAATTAATGATTAAAGTACTCTGGACTATTATTCACAGAATCCCTTGGTTTCTAATTTTTATTTTTTACTGAAATATTATGTCTTGGGTTTCAGTACCTCTACTTGCTTTCAGGTAGTCATCTAGAAGGAAGGACCCTGTATAGTTTGATATCTATATCTTCTAGAATGCTAAATGGATATAAGAATTGGAACAGAGAAGTTTCTATAATTTTCCTTGAAGTTAATAAATGTTTCAAATATTGTTGATTTTTTTTAAAATTGTAAAAATAACACTTTTTCGTGGTTGGCTATTGATTTCTGGTTTGTTTTGAGGTTAACATATACTTAGCTTACTATATTTACAGCTAAAATAATAATGTAAAGTTTATTTTTTTCTAGTTTAATATTGCTGCAGAGAGAAGCATTTGAGTTGATAAAATTTGCGTTGTAATTCTTTCTTTTTTTAAAAAATAGTCTCTGCCACCTTTGAGCCAGCCTTATGTGGAAGGCTTGTGTGTTTCTCTTGAACCTCTACCTCCTCTACCACCATTACCACCTCTCCCACCTGAAGATCCAGAACAGCCTCCAAAACCACCTTTTGCAGATGAGGAAGAGGAGGAAGAAATGCTGCTTCGAGAAGAACTACTTAAATCTCTAGCAAATAAAAGAGCTTTTAAGCCAGAGGTAATTTAGGTACCTAAACCTCTAGGTGGTGCTCTTGAGCTTAGCTTTACGGTAGTCCTACTTTTTTCTGGTTACTTGGGCATCATTGGGCTTTTCAGCAAAGTGGGGATAATTCTAACATGCTCAAGATTTTTAAAGGTGGCAGAAATTTATTTTTATTTAGGAATGTTTAATGTCTTTCTCTTCCTTATGTAGGAAACATCCAGTAATAGTGACCCACCTTCACCTCCAGTTCTGAACAATTCACATCCTGTGCCAAGAAGCAATCTATCAATAGTCAGTATTAACACAGTGTCTCAGCCTAGGATACAGAATCCAAAGTTTCACAGAGGACCCCGTCTTCCACGAACTGTGATCTCGGTAAAAACAAAAATTTAATGCTACTTTTATTCAAACAGTTATGATAAATTTCTATGAAGTTTAGCTGTCCTGTTTTCTACCCCTTGGTTTATTTATATACACACATATATTCACATATAAATACAAATTTTTAAAATTTATTTTTAATTTATTAATGATAAAATGAGAGCAACACCTTCACTTGAAAACTGGTAAGAGTTTGGTGATAGTGTGTTGGGGGAGGTATTGTTTTCATCAGAGTGGTGTACTTTCCTCTGACATTTCTTCAGCTTTTTTTCTATAGAAATGGGCTCATTCAGATTTTCTATCTTTTTGGAGTCAAAATTTTAACAAATTGCATGTTTTTTATTTCTCCCATCTCTTTGTATACTTTGTGTATGTTTTCCAACCAATGACTACACTATGATGGAAGAAATTATTTATGATGTTTATTAAGGAGGTTGAAATGATAGTTTGTTTCTACCTTGTTTTGTAATGGCTTCAAAGTAAAATAAATAGAACAAAGACAAGTTGAAATCTTTCCTGTTAGGTAAGCCAGTTTTGGCAATTTACCCTCTATATGTAACCACAAAGTACAGAATTTTGATAATTATTATGTAAAATTAACAAAATTTTTCTTTGGTTTTAAAAGAGTTAATTTAAATTGCATTGTGGTTCTTTATAATAGAAAGTTAGTGAAAATAAAATTTTAATGAGAGTAATTATAGAATAGAAAGTCTTAAAGAATATACAACATTTTATGTCTCAGTCATATAACCAGTATTGGTCGACTCAGTGGATTATGTAATACAACCCTAGAAGGAGCCATAGACTGTCTACTTGGAGCCCATTATTTTTGTGGATTGAAATTGAACAAGGTTAAATGACATCCTTTTGTTATCACGAGTAATAAATATATTGTCTTTGCAGCTTCCAAAGCATAAATCAGTGGTTGTAACACTAAATGATTCAGATGATAGTGAATCTGATGGAGAGGCTTCCAAGTCAACAAATAGTGTTTTTGGTGGATTAGAGTCCATGATTAAAGAAGCAAGACGAACTGCTGAGGTAAGTGCAATAATTAAAGGTGGAAAGAAAGATGACCTTTTGATGATCAGTAAAGTTTATTTTTTCCTGAAAATTAAACCATAAAGTTATAGATTTTTAATAACATTGATTTGTGGAAATATTTTAAGTATTTGTGCTATTAGGACTTTATATAATGAAGCATGTATCAATGTAGATTGATTTTACTATTAAAAGTTTCCATTATTTGTGTTTCCTATTAAGTATTTCCTTTTTCAAAATAGTAAAATTGGTTGGATAATTGTTCTGTGTAGTAAGGAGACTGTTGTTTTAGAGTTGTGTTGTGTTACCAGAAAACAGTTTTTATTAAAATGTATTCTCTAAGTACAACTTTTATCGTTTTTTCCCTATTTCAGTAGTTGTTTAGCTGTGATTTAATTCAATGATTTTCAGACTGTAGATCTTCACTACTTGGTGGCGTATACAATTTAGTAGTTATCAACCAACATTGTTTTAGAAAAAAGAATAGAAAATGATGACATTCAGGTATTTCTAAATAAATTCAGTATACACTGGGTTGCAATGTAAAATATAAATCTTAGTATGGAATTTTGGAAAGCTGATGATCTAGTTGACTTCAAATGTTTTTTTTTTTTTAGCAAGCTTCAAAACCGAAAGTACCTCCAAAATCTGAAAAAGAAAATGATCCTCTGCGAACACCGGAGGCTTTGCCTGAAGAAAAGAAGATTGAATATAGATTGTTAAAGGAAGAGATTGCCAAGTAAGTGTAATTTTATGTAATTAACATTAAAAGTATGTGATGTTTTCAAAACTTCTCTTATAGAGTTTCTTGGCACTGGGGAATGAGTGATGATAGTTTTATCCAAGATACAGAGTTAATGTTTTATAACTCACACAGAAGATGGTGCTGGATGGTCATACATACACTTGAATAGAGTGATGTGCTAGGACATAACCAGCTTAGAAAAAAGATGAAAACACTCAAAGAGAAGGACTCCACTATCAACTTTGAATGCTGACTTGGGTCTTGCATATTGGTCATCATCTTTATTATTAGTCGGTGTGATTAATATTGTTACTGCATGAAATAGAATACATTTTAAAAATAGTTTAAGTTTATTCTTGGGTGTAATGCATATATCCTTTTTGATAATTTTAGCCGTGAGAAACAGCGTTTGATTAAATCAGATCAGCTGAAGACAAGTTCATCATCCCCAGCAAACTCTGATGTGGAAATTGATGGTATTGGCAGGATAGCAATGGTTACTAAGCAGGTTACAGATGCAGAATCAAAACTGAAAAAACATAGGTGAGCCTTGTTATCTTCACATATCTAATTGTTCCTGTGGTAGAGAAATACATTTTTGTGGTGTATGTTATTAATAAGCGTACTATAAGATTATACATTTTCTCACTTAAACTTTGTAGAATGTAGAAGTCTGTCATTTTGTTGAATGACACTACATTTACATAAAGTAATGAAATTAATGTTTAAATAAAAATACCGGCCAGGCGCGGTGGCTCACGCCTATAATCATAGCAATTTGAGAGGCCGAGGTGGGTGGATCACTTGAGATCAGGAGTTTGAGACTAGCCTGGCCAACACGGTGAAACCCTGTCTCTACTAAAAATACAAAAAAATTAGCTGGGCATGGTGGTGCATGCCTTGTAATCCCAGCTACTTGGGAGGCTGAGGCGGGAGAATCGCTTGAACTAGGGAAATGCATTCCCACTGTGCCTGGCCCAACGTTGAATATTTACTACAAGTTTTCAACAGTAATTCACGTTACCTCAGGCTTAAATTTTTTTTTTTAAAAGATCAGTCTCATAGTTACTATTATCAGTGTAGCAATGTTAATTTAAATACCTGTGTGATGAATATAAAAATATTCATCCCTTTACATTTTTATCTGTGTCTCGTAGATGCATTTTTAAAAATTGTGTTATTACTTTGAAAATTTTTTTATTCTGACAGTCTGCTCTTGTAGGGAAACATTAACAAGAATTTTGTTATTTCTCATTTAGGATTCTCTTGATGAAAGATGAATCTGTTTTAAAGAATTTAGTGCAACAAGAAGCTAAGAAGAAAGAATCTGTTAGAAATGCTGAAGCAAAGATTACAAAACTTACAGAACAGCTTCAAGCAACTGAAAAAATTCTTAATGTTAACAGAATGTTTTTGAAGAAGCTTCAGGAACAAGTAATTATTTTAAAATACTGTAGTCTCCTGTTTACTACACATTTTTATAGGCCAAATTTTCTGTAAGACAAACCACTGTATACTAAAGCCAGCAAAATATGCATAACCTATAGTTTCTTGTTGAGAAATAATATTGGAATATTTTTATTTTCAGTTGAATGCTCAAAAGCCACGGTGTTTGAGAAGAAGAAATTTCCTGTTTTAAGGTTTTCATTTACATTTTCAGGATTATTCTATATTTTTCAGATTCACAGAGTTCAACAGCGTGTTACAATTAAGAAAGCTTTGACTCTAAAATATGGAGAAGAGCTTGCTCGGGCAAAGGCAGTGGCCAGTAAAGAAATAGGAAAACGTAAACTGGAACAAGATCGCTTTGGGGTGAGGGTTTTATAGAAATATTTTACTTTTGGAAAGCAGAAAGTTTTTATGATAGTTTTAAGGGTAAGATGTATATATAAAGTAACTCTTTGCTGTAAATTCCAAGAGATTAAGATTAAAGCTTTGTTTTTAAATGACATCCACATTTTTGGATGTCTACTTTATTATTTTGTCTTGACTTTGTTTTTGTCATAAGTCATAGATTAACTAGCAAAACTTTTGGCTACTTATGTTAAACTCTGTTTTATTCTCCATATTGATTTAGTTTTATAATGTTGGCATTGTATGGTGGGGATAGCACAATTATCTTACCAAAAATTGTTTATAAAATCACAGTGATGTAAAATACGTGTATCATTTTTCTCCCTTAGCCAAACAAAATGATGAGACTGGACAGTTCTCCAGTATCAAGTCCAAGAAAGCATTCAGCAGAACTAATTGCTATGGAGAAAAGACGGTTACAAAAGCTAGAATATGAATATGCCCTGAAAATTCAAAAATTAAAAGAAGCCCGTGCCCTTAAAGCAAAGGAACAACAAAATATCTCTCCAGTTGTGGAAGAGGAACCCGAATTTTCTTTACCTCAACCCTCACTTCATGATCTGACACAAGATAAATTAACCCTGGACACTGAAGAAAATGATGTTGATGATGAAATTTTGTCTGGTTCAAGCAGAGAGCGAAGAAGATCTTTTTTAGAATCCAATTATTTTACTAAACCTAACCTTAAGCACACTGATACTGCTAACAAAGAATGCATAAACAAACTTAATAAAAATACTGTAGAAAAACCAGAACTTTTTCTAGGGTTAAAAATTGGTGAATTGCAAAAATTGTATTCAAAAGCTGACAGCCTAAAACAGCTGATTTTAAAAACCACCACAGGCATTACAGAGAAGGTTTTGCATGGTCAGGTAACTGAACATTTCATATTTTCTTTAAAATCTGGAATTCACCCAGCCTTATTTGCCTTACAGAATTATTATTTTCTTTTGCAGGAGATTTCTGTAGATGTGGATTTTGTCACAGCACAAAGTAAAACAATGGAAGTGAAGCCATGTCCTTTTAGACCCTACCATAGTCCTCTTCTAGTTTTTAAGTCCTACAGGTATAAAAGAAAGATTCAATAAGCTTGAATTTCAGGATTTCTGTTTGGTTTTTAATATTTTATCTTGAATATTTGATGATAATGAAAAAGCAATTGAATCATTGCTATTGATAACCAGACTTACCCTTTTAAGGAACATAAAAATTAAGTGTCCTGCCGTTGGGCTCAAACCACACTCTTGGATTTATCAGTTCGTATCAAATTCCAGTTTCTGGCTATTGGTAGAAGTGTGGAGAATTTTGGATTTCTGTTTGTTAGGAATTTTAGGAAAAATAATTGGAATCTTAGAGGTTTTTTTTAATTTTTGATTTTTAATTTTACTGTTATTCAGTCTAAGAAGTGCATTGGCCAGCCTTCATAAAATTTATTTAGACATTTTCATATGATTAACTTTGTGGGTCCCCCATTTAGACTTTTAAAAGTTGTGAGAATGTTAAAGGGTTGCATGTTTTTATCTTAAAATTGTAAAGCACCTTCCAGGTAATATAGACTTTTTCCAGATTTTCTTGTCTTGGCTGGTAATGTGTGTAAGAAATACCGGTATTATATAGTATTTTATTATGTGGTGAGAAACTACTTTTAGAATACAAGGTTTTTTTTCTGTTTAAACTATTTTATGTTCTTGGTATAAAAGCAACTTGTTTCTATCCCTTGATATTCTAGGTCTTTTCTCGAATTAATTTTGGCATTAATTTAATTAGATAAATAGCTCATAAATAGTAAGCATGGAAATTTTAACTTGAGAAAGAAAAACTAAAGTTTTCTTAGTTTTCTGAGGAATGTTTGTTGGGCATAATATACCTGTTCACTCTCTTCACCTTAGATTTAGTCCATATTATCGAACCAAGGAAAAACTTCCCCTGAGCTCAGTATCATACAGTAATATGATTGAACCGGATCAGTGTTTCTGCCGTTTTGATTTAACAGGAACATGTAATGATGATGATTGTCAATGGTGAGTAGTTTTTGTGAACATTTTGTAATTTGAAAAATGGTCTTGTTTGCTTAACTTTGATATGTACATGATTATCTTTTCTGTGTTTTTTTTTATCTTAGGCAGCATATACAAGACTATACACTTAGCCGAAAACAGTTATTCCAGGACATTCTGTCATATAATCTGTCTTTGATTGGTTGTGCAGAGACAAGTACTAATGAAGAAATTACTGCTTCAGCAGGTTTTTAAAGACTTCCTATTCTCTCCCAAATGAAAATTGAATTTAGGCAACTTAAAAATTCTATATTAGTTGTTGACATTGTAAAATACTTACTATAATTCAGTGTATTTACCCATAATACTTTATCTAGATTTGCTGTATCCAGTATAATTACGGTAAAAATTTACTTCCTCTGTTACACTAGCCACATTTCAAGTACCCAATGGCCACATGTGGCAAGTGCATGCCAGTAGGACAGCACAGATTTAAGACATTTCCAACATTTCAGAAAGTTCTTTGGACAGAGCTCATTTAAATATTTAGTTCCATTTATTTAAAAGAAAATATTAAGCTATTTGTATAGAAACTTTACTATTGATTTTAACATAGGAGCCTATTTTTACTTATTGTTTTCAAAAAATAGAGGAAGGCTGGAAATTACGATGGCTGTTGTTTCCAATTCTATAATGAAATAAGACTTGATACACTTGTGAGCAAATATTATTAAGCTTTTTCTCAGATTTGGTGCCAAGTAATAAACCTCAAGCTACAAATCTTTTGGAAGTAAAGAAAATAATAATTACTAAATTTGGTGTTATCACAGCCCAGAGTGATTGTAATGTCACTGAATCTATTTTATCGCTCCCAATTTGGGACTTTAACTTAATTACTTAGTTCATTTTAGGAACTACTTTTTTTTTTTTTTAATCCCAAATGGGGTATATGATGTGGTAGGATTTGCCATAGTAGTTAAGATAATACAGGCTTTGCCCTTTCAAATGCCATAGGTGTTATTGACTAGTACCATATAATCGCCTTTAATTCTTAAACTAGTTCACGTCATACATTTTAATTATCCTAGTCTCTGTAATTGATATTTATCATGAAGATTGCATTGCTCTTATTTCAGAAAAATATGTTGAGAAACTTTTTGGAGTAAACAAAGATCGAATGTCAATGGACCAGATGGCTGTTCTCCTTGTTAGCAATATCAATGAAAGTAAAGGTCATAGTAAGTACATATATAAGTGTGTGTGTGTGTGTGTGTGTGTGTGTGTGTGTGTACTGTATCTCTTTCTGAAAAGGACTTTTTAGTTTCTGTATGACAGAAATTTTGTTGGTATTATGTTCTTAATGTAATACATATCATTCCAGGCTGGGTGCGCTGGCTCACGCCTGTAATCCCAGCACTTTGGGAGGCTGAGGTGGGCTGATCACTTGAGGTTAGGAGTTCGAGACCAGCCTGGCCAACATGGTGAAACCCCGTCTCTACTAAAAATAGAAAAATTAGCCGGGTGGTGGTGGCGTGTGCCTGCAGCCTCAGCTACTTGGGAGGCTGAGGCAGGAAAATCACTTGAACCCGAGAGGCGGAGGTTGCAGTGAGCTGAGATCGCGCCACTGCACTCACTGCACTCCAGCCTGGGTGACAGAGTGAGACTTCCATCTCAAAAAAAAAAAAAAAATACGTATCATTTCTAAGATGGAGTGAATGTAGTTCTTCTCAAATATTATTTGAGTATCCTTCAAAATGTTAAAAAAAAAACTAGTTATATCAATTAACAATCTTCTCCTATCTACTTTAGCTCCTCCATTTACAACCTACAAAGATAAAAGAAAGTGGAAGCCAAAGTTTTGGAGAAAACCTATTTCAGATAATAGCTTCAGTAGTGATGAGGAACAGTCTACAGGACCAATTAAGTATGGTAAGAAGTTATGTAATTTAAGATCCAGAATTATTAAATTGTGGTGTTCCATCTTTATTTAACACTTTGCTAATCCTTTGGTGTATCAGCCTGCCTGGTTAAAAAAAAATTTTTTTTAAAAACGATGCCATTGGGTTTTTAGACAATACAGTTAATTCACTGTGCAGGATTGCCTCTGAAATTGCGGGATATTTGTGTTCATGGCTCCTCTCCAGTAAATGCAAGGAGCACTGCTTAGTTAATAATTATGACTGCTTCAGATATTTCCAAACATACATTAGTTGGTGGGGAAGGTAGCTCCCGTTTGAGAACCACTGCCTAGCCTGTGTCCTCCTTAAGGGCAGGTGTTCTATTTTACTTCATCTTTGAATATGTTTTCTGACATGCAGAAGGCTCAAAAGATGAGAATGAACAAATGATGAATGAACTAATGAACAAAATAATGTATGAATGAGTGCCTGTATGTTAGGCACATTTTACTTTCTAATTTCAAGTTTGCATTATTTGTGAATTAGCAAGTATCCAAGAGATGTATGCTATTATGTACTTATTTACACTAACGTAACACTGTTTTTCTAGTTTAGATATAGTAGAATAATCTTTATAAATTATGACTTTTAATTTCTTAATTATAATTTGCAGTTTAACAAATGTGAATTCATTTGATAATAATGAAAAAGCAGTTGAATCATAGTTACTGTTAAGTGGACTGAAAAGGTAATGTCACTTAGCCTTAAAATAGCAGAGTTCTAATTACTCCTTTTGTTCTGGTGTAATTTTTAGTAGCACCTCTTTCCACTCAGAAGGGTCCTGGTTTGGGTGATAAATTATGTCATAGCTCTACCTTAAAGCTGTGAGCTAGTACATGTCATTAGAATCTTTAGGTTTTTAAGTTACTTTAAAGATGAGACCAATTGTTTTCTTTTTCTTGCATCTGTGGACTAAAGAAAATGTGAAGCTAATAATACTTTTTTTTTAAATAGCTTTCCAGCCAGAGAACCAAATAAATGTTCCAGCTCTGGATACAGTTGTCACTCCAGATGATGTCAGATACTTTACAAATGAGACTGATGACATCGCTAATTTAGAAGCAAGTGTGCTTGAAAATCCTTCTCATGTACAACTTTGGCTCAAGCTTGCGTACAAGTACTTGAATCAAAATGAGGGGTAGGTCAACTTCAAATCTTTGTGTAAACAGTTGCACATTTATATTTTTATGTTTGAGGTTTTTTTACCTATGGTAATCAGTCAGGTTTCTTTCCTAGTATCAATGGAGTCTTTGTTTTTTGACAAAGCCAAAAGCATTTTATTGTTTAAAAGCTATTAGACAAGTTTAAGATTAGATCTTGAGTTTGTGTGCATGGCTCAGTGTATGGGTAATAAATTATACTAAAGTTTTTTACTCCAGTAGGCTCTTATTTCAAAGTAGGATTAGTTAAAACAGTAAATTCTGACTAGTGGAATGGTTGATTGTTTTTTAAAAAAATCATAGTAGTCATAGTTTGTTAATAAAATTATGATAAAATAATGGTGGAACAGGTTAAATTTTGTTAATTTGTAATGGATATTTAAAGCTTATCTGAGAACTTCCAAATTATGGTGAATTTTCTTTCTGTCTCTGTCATATTAAATTATATGTATTTAAATAAGGTAAATGGTAATAACTTATACAACCAATAGTTTGTATTGCAAATGGCATCTTCTAACTTCTTGGTAGTAGAAATAAGCCAAGAATAATCTTTTCATAATTATAACTTTATAGTTACAATAATTCAAGGGTTTTTTTTTTTTACACGTTTCTTTGAAATATTTGACTATCTTAAAGCTTTTAAATAAGGCAGTGCTGCAGAGTGCTAATAAACCCACACATGCCTGGATGTGTTGCTTATTTAACTTTCCTGTGTGTCATTTCCATGTTAATGGGATAAGTTACAGTGTTTTCTTTTCTGACTCATTTACTGAGTGAAGGCCAAAAGAACCATACATTATTTTATGAATAGGATCATGAGAAAGAATTATCTTCTCCAAGAGATAGCAAGCCCTTGACCGTTGAAAAGAACTATTATACTGAAAGCTTTGATATTTTGTACTTGCAGTAGCTGGCCTTGAGAGAGAGTTGTTTAACTTTTCGCATTCCCAAATGGTGTAAATCATAAAAGGTATTGCTGAATATGGACATAAAGCACATTTGAAGTTGATAATCTTAGTGGTTTTATAACACTGTACTTTTATCTGTGGTAAATGCTTACTGAACATTCACTTAAAAAAATTGTTGGGTCTGTGGAAAATCAGAAACTTTTAGGCATGTGATTTAAAATCTGAAATCTAGTACCCCTTTTCATAAGTGATCCTGACTTCTTGGTAAATTCTAGTAGAAAATGGAATTTTAAAATTGACTCATTGGATTAGCCCTATTTAAATTTTCAAGCAGGTTCTAAAAAGCACTTCCACCTTTTCTTTTATATATACAGGGAGTGCTCAGAATCCTTGGATTCTGCTTTAAATGTTCTGGCGCGAGCATTGGAAAATAACAAAGACAATCCAGAAATTTGGTGCCATTACCTCAGATTGTTCTCAAAAAGAGGAACCAAGGACGAGGTGCAGGAAATGTGTGAAACAGCTGTTGAATATGCTCCAGATTATCAAAGCTTTTGGACTGTGAGTAGAAAAGATAACGTACGTGTGTGTGTGTGTGTGTGTGTGTGTGTATAATTATTTGGATCATCTTAAAAATTGATAAGTAGCTTAATAGAGCATATGCTTTATCTGAATATAGACATAATAACCTTACTTTCAGTTTCTAGTAACCACAAAGCCACTTCTGGATCAGAATTTAGACTAAGCAAGAAGAAAATATTTAGTGAAGAGGTGATTTTTTTGTTGTTGTTAACTTTATTGGTAAAGAAAAAATGTAAAATTGTTAAAAATTTCACACTTACCTATTTTTACACAGTTTTAGTTTGGGCAAAGTTAAGTGTAGCTTTTGCAAAACACCTGAAAAAATTGTTTCTTTTAAATTTATCTTAAATTGCCTCTATAAAATTATAATGACTGCCAGGAAACATTTTTGTCTTTTTATTATTTGTTTCCATTGCTTATAGAAATAATCCCAATCTGTAATTCACACTAATATCTAAAATTGCCAAGCTAAAAACATTTGATTGAGAAAAAATGGCCTCTTCCTCTTTCTCCAAGAGAATGAGATGGTTTTTTTGGCTGTCAGTTTTTGAGGCAGGGTCTCTCTATGTCACCCAGGCTGGAGTGCAGTAGTGCAGTCGTGACTCACTGCAGCCTCTACCTCCTGGACCCAAGTCCTCCTGGACTCAGCCTCCTGAAAAGCTGGGGCCACACATGCGTGCTACCATGCCTGGATAGTTTTTAGATTTTTTGTAGAGATGGGTTTTTGCTCTGTTGCCCAGGTTGGTCTTGAACTCTTGGGCTCATGCAATCCTCCTGCCTGGGCCTCCTGAAGTGCTGGGACTATAGATGTGAGCCACCATGCCCAGCCAAGAATGGGATGTTTTTTACCCAGACTTAAAATTATAATTGATCCACTTGAGAAATAAAATAAATATTCACCTGAACTTTTATCACCTGAACTTGGGAGCCATTAGTTTCAGATAAATTTTTAAATAAATCTATTGCTGTCAAATCTGTCATTTACTTACCAACTGAAGTTGTGAACCAAATAGATTTGGATAACATGATACCGCTTAATAAACTTGCTACTCTATTTCTTACTCTTTGAACTCAGGTAGTGAACAGATTTGGATAGTAAAGCATGCTTGATTTTTTTTTAACCTAGAGCATTGTACCTAAGTGAATGCTGTTATCACTACAAGATTTTATAGGGTGTGGAATATTCAAAAGATGTAATATTTTTCTTTGAAATTGCTTGGTCTTTAATGTGTTTTGTCATGCATTTCCTTTCTTTCTTTTTAAATCTTTTTTGAGACGGAGTCTCGCTCTGTCACCCAGGCTGGAGTGCAATGGTGTGATGTTGGCTCACTGCAACCTCCGTCTCCTGGGTTGAAGCGGTCCTCCTGCCTCAGCCTCCCAAGTAGCTGGGACTACAGGCATGCACCACCGTGCCTGGCTAAATTTTGTATTTTTAGTACAGATGGGGTTTCACCATATTGGCCAGGCTGGTCTCAAACTCACGTGATCCACCCACCTTGGCCTCCCTAAGTGCTGGGATTACAGGCATGAGCCATCGCGTCCAGCACATTTCTAATACAAATCTATTCTCAAAACTTTTATACAGTCACACACCTAAGCAACACAAATTGTATGTGATAATAAATGTGTACTTTTGGATATTCATCATGATCTTGCTGCGATTTACCTTTTAAGTCAGGGAAAAGAGAAATGAAATTGCTTCAGTGATATCTCTAAGAGTATATCTGTATTGTTTTAGTTTTCATCTGATTCCACTTTTCGATATGTGATAGAAGAGGGAGTCTAGGTTGTAGTACTAGAAGATGGAGTTATACATTTTTACAGTAATCCTTTTTGCAGAAGTTGAAGATTTACTATGAGATGGTTTCTTAATGAAATGTGAAAAGTCTGTAGTTTTGGTTTATTCCTGAAAGGCAACATTAATAATATAAAGGCCCTTTGGGCAGTTTCTACACCTAGAAAGTACCTTTGAAGAAAAGGATTACGTATGTGAGAGAATGTTGGAGTTTCTGATGGGAGCAGCCAAGCAGGAAACATCCAATATTTTGTCCTTTCAGCTTTTAGAGGCTCTTTTGTTTAGAGTTCAGCTGCACATATTTACTGGAAGATGCCAAAGTGCACTGGCAATTTTACAGGTAAGCACTTGGTACAGCATTTAATTGCATTTTGCAGAAAAAGTTTAAAAGGTCTACACCGTTATCCATAGCATTATTTAATGGTTGAAAGCACAAGATTTGGATTTGAATCCTTGTTTTTCCACTTACTAGTAAGTCATGTGACATTGGGTAAGTTTATGACTTTATTTCCTCATTTGCCTGATGGGTGTAATATCTTTAGAGTTTTTATAAGTTTTCAATGAAAATATTTTATGTTAAGTATCCACAGGTAAACTTCAAGATTTAAGCCATAAAGGAAAAAAATCAGTCTGATGAAAATAATCTATATGGGTGTGGTTTAAAAGATTTTTTTTCTTTTTACTGTTTTGTCTTTGTCTTATTAGATTTTAAGTATCAGGACACTTAAAATGTACAAATAAATGTGACCTTTTTATTATTTCATAAACTTTAGCATAGTAAAAATTATGTTAATCTGGTACTGACATCTCTAATTTTTTTATCAAAAAATTTTAAATTTTGCCTAGAATGCATTGAAATCTGCTAATGATGGAATAGTAGCTGAATACCTTAAAACCAGTGATCGATGTTTGGCATGGTTGGCCTACATACATCTTATTGAATTCAACATTCTCCCTTCAAAATTTTATGATCCATCTAATGATAATCCTTCAAGAATTGTTAACACTGAATCATTTGTAATGCCATGGCAAGCTGTTCAAGATGTAAAGACTAATCCTGACATGTTGTTAGCAGTTTTTGAAGGTAAGTATAAAGTTTATAAATTGTAATATCAACTGTTATAACATCAGTGTTTAGAACATTAACTACCCATTATTGTGATTCTCTGTAATTAAGTGGAACAAATTTATATCTCTATATTGCAAGTTTTAGTTTCACAATTTATTAGGCAAATTAAGTCTTGAATCAGAGAAGATGGACACTGGCATCTTTGAAAACCAATAACTGCACGATATTACATTGTTTATCTTTCTGATTGTGGCAAAGGATATCTGTTAAATGCGTAGAGAAAATAAATTATGTAAGTTTGATGAATTGATTAAATCAGAGAACTAGGTACTTTTTTTTTTTTTTAGCAGTCCATTAAGGTGGAAGTTTAAAGATTTCTATCTTTTCAACCAATTAATATTTTCTCCATCAGTCAGTGAGTTTGGTTGCTTCTCTATATTAAATGATACGACTATTGTGGAACACATTACAAGATATAAAGCCTCTTCCTGAAGGAAGTATATAGCCTAGTCAGAAGATAAAATCTATACATTTGTCATAATTATTAAACATACAAGGCCATATAACTGTGTGTTAGTATATAGTCTAAATTGTATGCTACGTAAAAGAGACTAGGGCCGGGCACAGTGGCTCACGCCTGTAATCCCAGCCAAGGAGGCCAAGGTGCGCGGATTGCCTGAGGTCAGGAGTTCGAGACCAGTCTGGCCAACATGATGAATCCCTATCTCTACTAAAAATACAAAATTTAGCCGGGCGTGGTGATTCACGCCTGTATTCCCAGCTACTCGGGAGGCTGAGGCATGAGAATCGCTTGAGCCCAGGAGGCGAAGGTTACAGTGAGCTGAGATCATGCCATTGTACTTCAGCCTGGATAACAGAGTGAGACTCAGTCTCTAAAAAAAAGAAAAAAAAAAGAGACTAGGATCTGTGATTTATAGAATTATTTGATACAGGCCATGAACCCAAAGGGAAGAGATTATTATAGATTGGCATGATCAAGGAAGTCTTCATAGAAGAATGGGGACCTGGAGCTAGATGTCGAAGCATGGCTATCAGTATGACAAAGTGGGTCTCATCAGAGATGGGGTGGACCCTTGTCTTATTTATCATTTTACTCCTAAGGGCCTGTAAGGATGTCTGGCAAATTATTAAGTGCTTATTAAATACCCTGTGAAGGAAGGAGAGAAAAGAAAGGACATTACTGTTAGGGGAGTTAAATAAACAAAAAGCAACAGGTAGAAGGGAATTTATGCAATGGATTTGAAGTGAGATTGGGAAAAGGGATAGGTCTTATCAGACTGAGAATTCTGTGCTGGACAATAGTAGTGATTAAGCTTGATAAGTAGAATGATACTTGATTGTCAAGAATCTTGAAAATGTGGTAGACTGGATGGCAGTAGAGGTTCTTTAAGAAAGAGAATGTGCTTGAAGAGAAATTATACCAATGGTAGGAAAACCAACCAGAAGCTGATGGCAGTAACTGAAGTACAAGAAAAGTATTCTGGTAAGGAGGATATTAGAGATATTTTAAGTTATCACATGGAAATACATGGGGGTGAGGCGGGGGGGTTGAAGATTAAATGTCAGGGAAGAGGAGGAGGAGTAAACAAAGATTTCAGGGTTTTGAGACTGGGAAAAGGAAAGTGTCATTAATAGAAAACTGGTAAGTTGGGAAGACTGATTTTGATGGTAGGAGTAGTATTTGTGATTGTAATTGGTCATTCAAGTGGAAATGATTGTTGGCGGTAGGAAATAAGGAAGTGGACCTTGGCCGTGCGTGGTGCCTCACATCTGTAATCCCAGCACTTGATAATCTGCTGAGGCATGTGGATCACTTGAGGTCAGGAGTTTGAGACCAGCCTGGCCAACGTGGTGAAACCCCGTCTCTACTAAAAATACAAAAACTAGTCGGGCATGGTGGTGTGTGCCTGTAATCCCAACTACTCGGGAGGCTGAGGCAGGATAATTGCCTGAACCCAGGAGGCAGAGGTTGCAGTGAGCCGAGGTCGTGCCACTGCACTCCAGCCTGGGCAACAGAGCAAGACTCCATTTCAAAAAAAAAAAAAGAAAAGGAAGTGGACCTTAATTGGACAATTATCAATACATAAGTGGATTTGAGTGTTATTCACATAGAAGTTACTGTGTTACAGGGTGCTTTACAGTTTTTATAATGTGCTTTTGAAGTAAATTATGCAGTAGTTGAGGCTATGAGATATTTTTTCTGAGGAAATGAGATTTAAGAGCATAACAGTAAGGAGTAAAAGGGAGAGTAGAGTCATTAAAATGGGACTAAGAGGAAATTTAAACAATCTATTGGAAGCAGAGGCAAGAAGAAATTAAAAAGAAGGGAAAGAACACTGTCAAATGTTAAATAAAATGAAGGTAGAGGTGAGCTTTTATGTTTGGTTAGATATGAGTCCTTATGAATGAACTTCAAGAAGACAGTTTCAAAGTGATTGCATTCACTTTTAAACTCCACAGATCTGGGAAGCTGTGGTACCATTGGGTAAGGAGGAAATGGTCACAGCTGGGCAAAGTAAAACATTGTACCGTTTAATAAGTGGCAAAAAGATCAAGAAAGAACTCTTTACAAGGGGAAAAGTGTGTTTTGATGGAGTAAGGAAAGGATCTAGTTTGGAGAGACATTCAAATGGCTGTGGGGCAGCAGAGCAAGACCTCCTTTGCAGTGGTCAGGGAAAGATGAAAAGATAATTTATTCTGTAATTTTTTTTTTGTTGAGATGGATTTTAAAGAATTTAGGATAATTGCAGAGATACTTGTTTAAATGAAAACACTGATAGATGCAAAAGCTCATATGGGATGGCTTTATTCTTACCAGGAAAGTTGAGGGTAAGGAATTGAATTTTAGGATTTTGGAGATTACTTGAATTACTTCCTTTGAGTAAAAGCCAGCTCAGTAAAGGTGAATAAGATGATGGATGGGTAATCAAAGGGAGGGGTCATCTTTTCCCATTGGTCTCTCAGAGTTGAAGTAACACAGTCAAATATTTCATTTTTATGATTGACGTGATTCATGTTGTTGTGATGTTTTTGGGTAGATGCAGTGAAAGCTTGCACAGATGAGAGCCTTGCTGTTGAGGAAAGAATAGAGGCCTGCCTTCCACTTTACACAAACATGATTGCTCTGCACCAACTCCTGGAGAGGTACAACTTAATTGCCAAGCAGCTAACCTTATATTAAAAAGTGATCTTTTCATGTCTTTAGCCTTTTTTTTTCTTTTTTGTTAAGGTATGAGGCTGCAATGGAGCTTTGTAAATCTTTATTGGAATCATGTCCTATTAACTGCCAGTTGCTGGAAGCTCTTGTTGCATTATATTTGCAAACAAATCAGCATGACAAAGCCAGAGCAGTGTGGCTTACTGCATTTGAAAAAAATCCTCAGAATGCAGAGGTTTTTTATCATATGTGCAAATTCTTCATCTTACAGGTAAAAATGATGCATAATTCTTAAATATGATGCTTTTATGTTTCAAATTTTGCTATTGGCCTCACCAGGAAGTGTTTCCTGGTCCTTTTACCCTTTGCAAGCAGTGTTAGGTGTTCCTTCTCTCTTTGCCATAGCACTTAGTACAGTGCTTTGTAATTTTATTCCTAGCTGCTTTAATATATACTATACTAAACTTCTTGAAGGCAAGGAACATGTTTACTCATATTTGCAGCCCAACGCCTACCATGGTGCTAGATGGCTAATACATAATTGGTGGATGAAATATGAGCCTGTGGTAATACTAGAAGTTAAGCTGTTTAATCATTAGTTGAACTTAATTCAGAGAGTAAAATATAAAAGTTTTCTGAGTATGTCTCAAACTTATCCCCTCCGCCCCTTACCCACTCAAGAAACTTAATCTAATGAGTACTTTTTTAAGGCTTTTTTTCTCCCTCGTGACATTTTAATTAAACATTGTAAGCCTGATATATATCCCCCTCCCTCTTTTTAAAATAGAATCGAGGCGATAATCTTCTTCCATTTTTGCGGAAATTTATTGCATCCTTCTTTAAACCGGGGTTTGAGAAGTATAATAACTTGGATCTGTTTCGGTAAGTTGTAGAATTCTTAGTTTGTAGAGGAATGAGAGAGAGCACAGTTCAGTAGAAAGATTACAGTTTTTTTCTTATATGATGACATTTTAGACTGACTTTTTAGTACTTGAATACCCACTTAACAGAATACTTGAAACAGAATAAATAGAACAATAAAAATGGAGGCAAGATGGAAAATTCTTTAACATTCTGTGGATTAAACACACTGTACAAAGTAAGGCATATACTAACACCATAGTAACTCATTCTTTTACTTTATCGTTATTGTTGTTAATTTTAGTACTTAATATTATAGCACTTAATTATCCCAAGGCAATCTCAGTGATTTTTTACAAAATGTATTTTCATTTATTTGATAGGTCATCAAAGTGACTATAAATAATACGCCTTTTTCTTTTTTTAATTCTGAAGAGAACTGCTCTAGCCTCTGAAATGTTATAGAGTAAGACGTTTCAGAGGATTCTTTTCTCAACCATTAATTTCTTAATAGCTCATATAGAGCTGTGCTTGCTGTCTTTCCTGAGAGTTCCTATTCCAACAGTAAGAGGTCATGGCAGATTTTGAATAATGATTTTTTGGGGGGAGGCTCTTAAAATTATCTTTCCTTTGTCCTCCTCATCTCTTTATGGGGTTAGCAAACTTTTTTCTTAAGAGCCAGAAAGTAAATATTTTAGGTTAGCAGGCCATGTAGTCTATTACCACTACTCTACTATGTTGCTTTATTGAGAAACCAGCCATAGATGAAATGCAAGTGAATGGTTATGACTGTGTTCCAGTATAACTGTTTACAAAAATAGGCATGGTTTGCCGATCATAAGTAAAACAGCATCAAAAGGAAAATATTTTATCACAACATACTCTATTATTTTGTATTAGGAAGAACAAGAGAAGAAAGACCTAAGCTGAATATCTCCCCAAAAAATTTCTTGTAGAAAATACAGATGAGCGAAAATAGAATCTTAAAGCCCAAATTTTGTTAAGTAAGTGATCTATTCAACCTAGAACTTGTTTTTTGTTTTTGTTTTTTTTTTTTAATTTTATTTTAAGAGAACGGAATCTTGCTCTGTCTCCCAGGCTGGGGTGCAGTGGTGCGATCTCACCTCATTGCAACCTCCGTCTCCCAGGTTCAAGCAATTCTCCTGCCTCAGCCTCCTGAGTAGCTGGGATTACAGGCGCACACCCCCACGCCCGGCTAATTTTTTTATATTTTAGTAATGACAGGTTTCACCGTGTTACCCAGGATGGTCTCGAACTCCTGAGCTCAGGCAATCCGCCTGCCTTGGCCTCCCAAAGTGCTAGGATTACAGGTGTGAGCCACTGCGCCCGGTCCACCCTAGAACTTGTTGTGAACATGGCAGTTTTATTTAAGATTTGGGGACACTATTCCCTCCCAGACTTGAGTCTTTATATATGTCCTCTTATGGTAGCCAGTTTATTGCCATAGCGATTTTAGTGCCCTTCCCAAAGGGCCCTTCTTTCTGCTCTGTTACATCCAGATTAATATTTACAAATAATTACAAATGAAATAATTTTAAATGCAAATTAATAGAAAATAATTAAACTTCCATAAGGGATTTAGAGATTTTTCAGCTTCTCCATACTCAGTTTCTTCCTCGTTTAAATTAGTTTGCTTTAACATCTCAAGCTCAGGCAAAGGGCTAATTCAAGGCTGAACCAAACTCTTTAGAGACTTGCTGGTTCTGGTCTTGGGCACAGAGATAATTGGTTTAGTTTAAAAGAAAATGCTACCAATTTCTGCCTTGGTAACTAATGAAAGATCTTCAGATCTTCTTGATGCCAGCTTAATTGGCAGAATAAATAAGCATCAATAAAAATTTGAAAATGAGTTGTCTCCAAATATATTCTCATTACTAAGTCATCTTTATTAAATTCCTTTGTGGAAATAGTCATAATTCACTGAGAATTAAGAGAAAAAGGTATCCTGTTTATAGCTTATTTAGACAATAGTGAAACTCTTGGTTACACAAAGATTGTGCATTTCTGTTAGAGAGTCTTTTTCATCAGATATTAGGAGAATGACGATAGATGAGACCATTTTTGGCATTGCCATACTTATTGTATATTGATATAAGTTTTTTAAATTCATAAGTTGTCAATGTTTATTAATAGGAGAAATCTGCTCTTAATTGGTTCAAAATACTTTTAAAATTTCATGAGTAGAAATTGTTAAGCAAAATGCTTAGCACTATAATTTTTACCTGGAGTTGAATTCTGTCAACTCTCTATGTGACATTTAGTATAAAGATGGCAGGCAGAAAGAACTAGATAGGGTAATTTTCATGTGTTTCAAGTCAATTTGAAGATTAAGTAGATAGCCAGAAAAATTAATTTGGGGATTTCATTTACTTTAGTAAAGTTAAACTAGGGATTATAGTCTTAAGTAGATTAGATTTGAAGTCATCTCTTCTGACCATCTCAGTTTTCAGTGAGGAAGTTAAGGGATTAACTCATGGTGATGTAGCTTGTCTTGGCAAAGTCAGGATGATAACCTAACTTCTAGATGTTCTATTTCTTCTCTTTCTTGTGTTTGCCCCCCATACAGCCCGTCTAATTCATTAAGACTTGTTCCCTTGCAATTATTTAAAAATTTAAGATAAATAGTTATACTAGATTGTCATTTTTGCGATCAATGTATTTCCTTTAAAAACATTGTTCTTAAAGATGGTGGTAAGTATCATACACACAAATTAAAATACATTGGAAGGAAGATGGACTTAGTCAAGTAGAATTCTATACTGATTGACTTCTTAGAGTCACTGGGATTGACCTATAATCCTAGTAAGTATTGTGGCTTTTCAAGATGGGGCTATAATTTGTAGTATTTCCCAACCTTATTTGATCATAGATCTTTTGACAGGTACCTTACAGGCTAATGTGTTATAGAATACACTTTGATATCATGTCTAAAATTAAACTTAAATGGGTTGTATGTGTGTATGGCTGTATGTGAGAGAGATTACTTTCAGATATAAGGTTTAGTAAATCTTTTTTTTTAAGAAAGGGTCTCACTTTATAACATGGGCTGGAGCACAATGGTGTGATCTCAGCTCACTGTAACCTCTGCCTCCTGAGTTCAAGCTATTCTCCCACCTCAGCCCGGGAGTAGCTGGGACTGTAGGTGTGCATCACCACACCTGACTAATTTTTGTATTTTTTTGTAGAGATCTTGGGGTTTCACCCAAGTTGTTAGCCAGGCTGATCTTGAACTCCTGACCTTAAGTGAACCACCCGCCTCAGCCTCCCAAAGTGCTGGGATTACAGGTGTGAGCCACAGCCCCAGGCCTTGTAAATCTTTTTTTTAACAAGAAAGTACAGATTTCATTGGAAAATTTCAGATACTTGGTAGACTCATTTGTTCTTTTTAAACTAGGTTTATTTAGAGGATTATGGTGTTTTGTTTAATCTTGGGGATAGAATAAAAAATTCATTTTAGGAGGAGAGTTTTTCATATAGGTATAAAATAATAAAACTGTGGCCAGGCGCAGCAGCTCATGCCTGTAATCCCAGCACTTTGGGAGGTTGAGGCAGGAGAATTACTTGAGTCCAGGAGTTCAAGACCAACCTGGCCAACATGGTGAAACACCATCTCTATTACAAATACAAAAATTAGCTGGGTGTGGTGATGCATGCCTGTAAGTCCCAGCTACTCAGGAAGCTGAGACATGAGAATCACTTGAACCTGGGAGGTGGAGGTTGCAATGAGCTGAGATCATGCCACTGCACTCCAGCCTGGGTGACAGAGCGAGACTCTGTCTCAAAAACAAACAAACAAACAAAAAAAAGCATTTTGAGTAATGTGTAATCCTAGAGATGTGACCAAAGAGGTATGGTATACCTATGAAAAGAAAGTCTCATTGCTTTCTAAAAAAATATTTCAATGAAATTTAAGTGAAACTAACGATTTTAAAAAATATGTGTGTAATTCCTGTGTGGGTAGGTGTAATTTAAAACAATATTTGGATTTTTTTTTTCAGGTATCTCTTAAATATTCCAGGACCAATTGACATTCCATCTCGTTTATGTAAAGGGAATTTTGATGATGATATGTTTAACCACCAAGTTCCTTATTTGTGGCTGATTTACTGGTGAGACATCCACTGTGGAGAGATATTGCATACTAGGCCTGCATTTGCTATTTATTACTGAATTACACTGTGTTTGTTATAATTAACTTGATGTTAAAGTCATTGAAGCACAATTGAAGAGATGCTAAGGTTTAGTATATACTAGAGAAGAAAGGTCAAAAGAAGGATTCTATTGTAATAACATCTGTAATGTTTAAAATACTTTGTCATTCCTTCACCTGATGGAAATGAATGATAGACATATGTTTTCCTTCATTTTTTAAACAGCCTTTGTCATCCTCTTCAATCAAGTATTAAAGAAACAGTGGAGGCATATGAGGCAGCATTAGGGGTGGCTATGAGATGTGATATAGTACAGAAGATATGGATGGAGTAAGTTTAGGTTTTCTTGATAAGAATGAGATTTGGGGATAAAGGGGTATGATCGGGAAAGGGGTGACCAGCTTTCTTGGTGAGAGAACTACTGTCTTAGTTATTCTAAATTATAATATTTTTCTTTTGGCAGTTATCTTGTCTTTGCAAATAATAGAGCTGCTGGATCCAGAAACAAAGTTCAAGAATTCAAATTTTTTACTGATTTAGTGAATAGATGTTTGGTTACAGTCCCTGCCCGATACCCCATTCCTTTTAGCAGTGCTGATTACTGGTCCAACTATGAATTTCATAATAGGGTAAGAACTCAAAACTTTTTTCTTTAGATATTTGTGTAAAACAAAGAGACTTTAAAAATGATAGCAAAACTCCTGTTTTATATCAAGAGAGCTTTTCCTAGGACTACTTTCTTAACATTCACTATTATTCTTGACTATGTTTCTTATTTATCTATTCAGAGTCTAGCAATAGAGCCCTTTAAGGCACAATTAAAATGTGCATTAATTATTATGTTATGGTTATGAAAATTTAACATTTGAAGCAAAATGAAGGGATATTAAGATGTAATACATATTAATGAAAAAACACGTCAAATGAAAGATTCTATTGTAATACCTGTAATGTTTTGCTTGAGTAGTTGAAAATTCTACTGAATGAAAAATTTAGTAACTTCAAAATAAATAAGAATGGACTTATACATTGTAGCTGCTCTCTTTGTTAATATTTTGTCAAGCAAATATAGCTATACACAAGGCATAAGAAAGTTTAAAATTAGGTGCTGCTTATAATTCTAAAAGTAGAATCTAATTAATGATATAGTTTTGTGATTATCTTTTAAAAAAATTTTTTTTCAGACACCACTTTTATTCAGTGCATTATAGGCTAAAAAGCTCCTTGCTAAAGCTCATTGTAGACTAAAACATATATATGTTTTATTTATTTATTTTTGGTGGGGTGGTTTTGTTGCTAATCAGGATAACCAATTATTATGCTTTGTACTTCTATGCCATTCTTTATCCCAGGATCTCAAACCACTTTATGGACATTAAGTCATTTACACACGGGCATTCCATGAGCAAGATGTGGCAGGTATTATTAGCCCTATGACTTGCCGAGCTATACAGCAAGTAAAGGTAGACTCAGGAATGAAAACCCAGACTCCTGGCTTCTTGTCAGTGTTCTGCCCATGGCTCTCATCACTAGACCATATTTCCTAATTCATATTTGGAAAGTCACTAATAAAATTAATGGTAGGAACTGTAACTCACAACATCATACATTATTATAATTTATACATTCATATCTTAAAGACCATTTTGGTTTTCGTGTTAAAACACATAGGTAATTGGATTTCACATTTTGGTTGCATTCATTTTTCGCCCCCCTCAACCTTTACAGGTTATTTTCTTTTATTTGAGCTGTGTTCCAAAGACCCAGCATTCCAAAACCTTGGAACGGTTTTGTTCAGTTATGCCAGCTAATTCTGGACTTGCATTGAGGTAAGAAAAACTTAACATTCTTTTGGTCCTCTGCCTAATGGAATAGGCTCTTTATATAAGATTATTCTTGAAAACTTGATAAAAATAGTCTGTTGTTCCACTATGTCCTCATGAATATATACTGCTTAATTTCAGAGTTGTTAAGCCAATATTTAGCTATTCATTCAAAAGTCAGTGTAAAAATTCTGGTCGCTTCAGAAAACTTCAGGTTACAAAGGGGCAAATAATTCCATTCAAGTAAAGTTCATCTGTGTTCCCTAAACACACACCATCTGTCCTTAGCATGTGCATTATAAGCAGTAAGCTTGTTTTCCACGGCAAGGGAATATTATTTAAGATGTTTTCATATTTTCACCTAGGTCAGTTGCTCTCAAATATTGGCAAACATTAGAATCTCCTGGGATGCTCATTTAAAATGTAGATTCCTGACCTTGAGCCCTCACACTACATTTTTGAAGCACTGATTAGGGATTTCATATATTCGATCAGAACGAGATTTCTCAGCCTTTCTTTGTAGTTTCTCTGCTCTGATACAGCAAATCCACTTTCATCCGCAAGAATTATGCTTTTTAATTCAAAAAGGTACCCTGCATGCTAATGCACTGGCTTCCACGTTTGCAGTCATTCCCACTGCATCAGTTGTATCTTAATGTTTTATGGATCATAAGATGCCTAAAATATTTATGAAATGTTCCCTTATGTTTTAAAGGATTTACATTTCATTTAGCATGTATGTGGGGAAAATCGTATAAAAGTTTAAAAACTAAAGTTGAGACAAACATAATGGTAGTATTTTACAGTTTTCTTAGCAAGCCTGCCAATCTGTAGAAGCTCATTACAGAAATGTTAATTATGAAACACCTTTGATAAAACGTGAAATAGAAAATGTCATATTTTGACATGATTTTCTATTGTGATAGGCATTTTAGAATATAGGTAGTTTACTTGTTTATTTTGTTGGTAAATCCCTACATCTGTGTTTTGATACTTATTTCCTCTGGTCATCCCTGTTCTTTTTTTCCAGGAGAATAAAGAACTTTAATAGTTACTATACATGCATTTTAGTTCAAGAAACATTCAAGACTGATCATACTCTAAGAAAGAAAAATACCAGGAAATTGCATTACTATCAAGCCATTACTTTAAAAAAAAATTGGGGTGGGAAACAGGGACTGTTATTTGGCGGGAATGCTTTCATGTCCTATAGAAATACATGGACCTTAGTGTAGTTTGGTAAGATGAGCATAGATCTTGACTTGACCTCTTCGTAGTTTGCACATTCCTGTCCCAGGGTAATTTTTGTAAGAGGCATTCTAAAATATTTGCTGGGTAGTCTTGATGGAATTTAACTAATCAAAATTTATACTTCGTCATTGTGCTCATAGAGCACATTTGGGGTTCGTTACACTTGCAATGCTTTGTTCATTTTCCTGAATGTACTTTACAGGTTACTTCAACATGAATGGGAAGAAAGCAATGTTCAGATTCTGAAACTTCAAGCCAAGATGTTTACATATAATATCCCAACATGCCTGGCCACCTGGAAAATGTAATGCAACAATCATGTACATGTTTTTATAGCTATTGCTTTTATTTATAAGGTTTGCTCCAGACAGGTAAATCTGAAATGACATCTATATATATATATATATATATATTTTTTTTTTTTTTTTTCCTGGACAGATTGCTATTCTTAATTTAGATTTGTTTTTAGCATTTACTGAGGTTTAATGAGAGTGAGTACTCATTGAATAGCCTCTAAAAGCAAAAAGCGTAGACTTTTAATTTTCTTTGAAGGACAACATTTAGGTGACAGTACTGTTATCAAACAAATCTGCTACAGACATTTTAAGACCACCTCTTGAAATGGTGGTGTGTCACCTGTTGTAGTCTGATTTCTTCTTTCTTTTAAAGGTGTTAGTGCTAGGTATTTTTGACTAGTAATTATGAGGTGTTTTTTTTTTGTTGTTGTTGTTGTTTTTTTTTTCTCCTGTGAACGTTATTTATGTTCAAAACACTGGTCTGCTTTTTTCTTGTAAAGTTGATAAAAATTGTTGAATTTTTCTTTTCACTATAGGTTTTCCTCCTTGGAAGTTTAGCCTGTTAACTTTCAGGAAGTTTTGTACTCAGATTCCCACAGTCAGTATTCTGCCAGTGGTGGTGTTTCATTTTGTTCAAAGATATATAAATTTTTCTTTTCCTTTTTCTATATTTCTTTTTTTTTTTTTTTCTCTTAGAGCCATTGCTGCTGAGATTGTTCTAAAGGGACAAAGAGAGGTAAGCCATGGTTGAATCTCAGATGGGTCACTTTTAAAAAGTTTTTCTGTCTCTTTTGTTGACTTCTCAATTTAAAAGAATTAAAGCACAGAAGTTAACATTTCATGCACACTAAGAACCAAGTGGGGAAACAAAAGTAGTTAACATTTTAAGAGTACCAAATATTCGGAAACTCCAAAACTCAGCATAACCATTTTGTCTCAGATGTTATTGTGAATTACCATTCTTTAAACAGATGGAATTATGAAGGTGTTTTTCATTATATTTTCTGATGGAATTGTGTGTATATCTATCTTACAGGTCCACCGTTTATATCAGAGAGCCTTACAGAAGTTACCTCTTTGTGCATCACTGTGGAAAGATGTAATGCTTTTTATCTTTTATTTTATCTCGATGTTTTCCTGTAAATTTTCTGCATGTGCCATATCCATTGATGTGGTAATGCTCAAACTCTAGCTAAGTCTTACTTCTATGCTTCCCTGTCTTTTACAGCAACTCTTGTTTGAAGCATCAGAAGGAGGTAAAACTGATAACCTGAGAAAACTAGTTTCCAAGTGCCAAGAGATTGGAGTCAGCCTAAATGAGCTCTTAAATTTAAACAGTAACAAAACAGAAAGCAAGAATCACTGAACACTGGGTGCAGTCAGTTCTAAGTCCTTATAATAATTGCCAAAATTATTTGAATGATTCTTCAAGATTAGGCTGATCCCTGGCTAAGGTCTGTGTAAGGCAGACAAGCGTTATTGATCATATCAAGTTCCCTACAATATCCTGTCCTCAAAACCGGAAGCAATGAACATGATCCTCTTCGGTTGGATAAATGAACTTCCTGTTTGGCCTGCTTCTAGGCCCTGCCAGATTCTCATAACATCATATACGTAAGTATAGTTCCTCAAAGTGACTGACATTTATTTTAATTTTGCTTTGTTTTTTTTTATTTTCTCCCCCATTCCTTTATTTTGTGTTATTCCTGACTCACTTGACACTCTCTGATGCCTGAGAGATTCCTGTTTGGGATTTAATATCCAGGGCTGTGTTTACAGTAAAAAAAGCAGGCAGTCCCTTTTAGTTTTTCCTTTTTAAATTTTTTTGAGATTCTTCATTTCAGGATTTAAAACTATAGCAGTCCATCTTAAGGAAAGTGTAACTGCCATGGCCACAAGTCTGCTAGTTGCACTTGAATGCTCTATCAGGGTTGTTTATTACCCTTTCTACGTTCTGGACTCCTTGCCGAGACTGTTTAACTTGAAGATTAAAGAAACTATTGCAAATGCCAGTGCATCAGAACCTAAGAGTGGTCAAATATTATGTGCAATTTTTTTGTAAAGAAATTTTAATTTATAATAAAGTTTAACAGTTTAAAGAACAGTTAATATTTGAACTGCTTTGTATTGAAATACTACTTTGTAGTATTGAAATTGTTTATATACTTTTTTAATATAAGTTAACTTTCTAAAAACTCTTGCTGTCTTTATTCACTTTTCACACTGGTGGGAAAGGGTTGAAGTCGGAGATACGGATATTCACCATAACTTATAGCAATACTTTTTTATCTTGAAACTGCTTTCCCATTAAAAAAAAAAAAATTAATGACTTTTTAATTCATGAGAAGATGGATACTGTTGTGAGGACAGTGAACAGAGAGGTTTGCACTACCATTAAATTCCTTGTTCTCAAATTCTCAGTGTTTAGAAAGTGCCTCCCAACCGTAGTTTGAATGATTTGCCTAGTGACATGCCATCTTATGTTGAATATCAGTGTGATTGAATGCAAAGGAGACCTTGCTTTTTATTTTGTTTTCAGTTTATATTTGGTTGTTTTAACCTTGGCAGGAAAAATGTTAATGACACAACGCACACTGGCACAAATCTGATCTTAGAACTACATGTGCTTGAACTGTTAGAGGCAGAGCAGCAACCCCATGAAATACTAGGAAACTTGTACATGTTTACATTTGTATAATGCTCACTAGAAATAGAACCATATTTTGAGTCCCTATTCTGTACCTACCAGACAGGGCGATTTGGCTAGTAAGTGCTGTTTGATGGGGCCAAGAATGGAATCCATTTGTCTAGTGTCTTTCATTTAATCAAAAAGAAAGCTGGAGGCTTACTGGTTTTTCCCTAAAACCAAAAAAAATGTGGGTGGAAGATAGTAATCCCAGAGGAATAGATATCTACTCACTGTATGCATTTAACTTTATATAACTTTGAAAGCTTTTCCTCCTCTGATTTTTTGAAAACAGTTGTTGGGTACTTAGTAAAATATTTCCAGTGTGTGCCTCCATACATAGTGTAACAGTTTTTATGTTAACTGAAATGTCTCAGAAGTTTTTAGGAGACAATGCTAAGCCTGAACTTTTGTTGCATTAATATTTCCATCAGCAGTAACTATTTTGTCTCTGTCTTTTTTTTAATGAGTTCTTTGCATTGGTGTATGTAGAACTCCACTCAGTGCATGCAGTCACAGGGTCCGTCCATGGAGGCTGTACACTAACAACTCTAGGGATGGCCATTCACATGTTCCGCACAGTCATGTAGGAATAGGCCCTGTTTCCTCTTTGATCCATTGTCATATTGCTATTTAAAGGTACCTTATACAAATGATATTGCCTTAAAGATAAATTCTGATATCTTTTCCTGTCAGTTTATAAACTCAACTTTAACCTTCATGTAAAAAAAAATCACACACACTGCTTAAGGGTGAGGTATATGTTCCTGTCATCCTTCCATTGTCAGTTTTACTTTTTTTTTTTTAATGAAGTACTTTCAGTACATGATAATTAAAGTATTAAACAAATTTGGGTTAAAGTTTTTATGGTTATTGTAGAAACATGAATATAAAAAGATTTCACATACTGTGTGACTAAAGTCTTTCTTTTGGACAGAGAAAAGACTAGTCATTGAGAACTGCAGTCCCTTGTATTCGCCACCCCTGCTGGGGGACAAAACATGCACACAAAAGAGGCCTTTTTAGGCTGTGGGATTTTATCTCTGATAAAGGAAATGGAGTGGTAGATTATGATGTATTTTTATGTGTTTTTGTTCATTTTAGAGAACAGCCTAATATTTCTATTTGCCTTTTAACGGAAAGTGGACCTTGTAACATTGTTTTTCACTCTATTATCTAAGGCGGTTTGCTTTCAATTAAAGGGTGTATAAACCTACATCATAAAGTAAGCAAGAATCTCCAGGTGCAACATCTAAGAGCTAAAGGCACTAAGCAGACAAGAAAAAAGTGATTAAGACTGACAACAAATGTAGAGGGACTTTATTGAAGATTGTAGTTCAAATATTTATTTTTCAAGGTTGTTGAAAAAGTAGGAACATGTGGCTAGAATACAAAGCAGGGCCAATATTCTTGGTTAAAGCTGTCATGTGTTCACAGATAAGTCGTAATTTCCTCAAGTCTGCTTTCATGTCTATGTTAACATTAATGTGAGGGAAGAATGGGGAAATACAATTTTAATGACCTTTCAGGTTTGAGGATTATGCCTGCAGGTGTATCATTGCCCTTCAGTGCATATTAACAGTAATTATTATACAGAACATTTTGAACAAGAGCTGGTCAAGAAAAGGCAAGTTCTGATTAACATTTCTGATATTGTTTCTTTTTTGTTCAAAATTAGGACTGTGTCTTTCCAAGCTGTGATGCTTCTTAATGCAGGTGTTAGAGTCAAGCTGAAAAAGAGCTTTTTCTTTCTTTCATCTTTTTGGGGGATAGAGGGGTTTATTCCATATGCCATCAGAATGCTCTCTTTCTACAGGTGTTCCATCTTTCTACGTGCTGTTCCATCCTGTCCTCATTCCCATCTTCCACCATCATTCACATAACCTTCCTCACTACTTTTTCAGTACTACTTGATTTAGATTATGATAAATGTGAAAAGATTTTTCAATTTTTTCTGATATCTTTGAGGTAGATAATGGAAACTTGCCCCTGTCTTCCACAAATGGTAAAATGGATATGGAGTTTGTCTCCACTTCTCATTTGGTGACCTTCACAAGAGGGACCCCACAACATGTTTTTCAGAGGCCTCATGAAGAGAATCAGGCATTTTTTCATTTCAGAATCCATTTGAGCTCTGTGCTAGGCAATCTCAATACAGAGAAGAGTAAAGGGATCCCCTTTTACATTCTAACAGAAAAGGAACGTATGCCAAGGAAGCATCTTCAAAGGGTATCTATCCTAACTTGAGTTAGAAGTTGGGAAAGGCTCCCTGAATGGAAGTGAATCATTGGGCTAAGGGATAAAATGGAGGAAAAGTTGAGCTCAATAATATTTTCAAAAATTGTGTCACTTCTATCTGTACATTTGGAATCCTGTGCATTTTTAAAAAACGTTCTGAAAAGCTTTAACTTTCCAAATTCATTCACAACTGAAAATTCATTAAACATGGTAACAGATGTGTAAAACTACAGAGCAGCCTAACTGTTCAGAAGAGAGTGCCTTTGGGGGCACCCTGTGCTTCAAAATCCACATGAGCATGACTGACTAGGAGTAATCCTATTAGAAGACCCAGTTTAAATGCCTTGATATCCAAAGTCTGATTGTAATTGCAGCTGCTGCTACTAGCTTTTCCTTTTTTCCCTCTCTCTCTCTAACTTCTTGGGTAATGCATGAATAAAATGTTACTTTCAACATTTATTATCTACAACTTGCAGAGCACTATTTCAATTCCAGTCTACATGGTTTTCCATTAATTTTTTTTAACCTTTCCTATGGTGTTGATCCATTATATTTTAAGAGTCATGGTTATTTTTCTGTTTACACAGAACTACCCAAAGATGGCCCAAAGTGGGCCAGGGGCTGTGGCTCACACCTGTAATCCCAGCACTTTGGGAGGCCGAGGCGGGTGGATCATGAGGTCAGGAGATCGAGACCATCCTGGCTAACACGGTGAAACCCCATCTCTACTAAAAATACAAAAAATTAGCTGGGCGTGGTGGTGGGCGCCTCTAGTCCCAGCTGCTCAGGAGGCTGAGGCAGGAGAATGGCGTGAACCCGGGAGGGGGACCTTGCAGTGAGCTGAGATAGTGCCACTGCACTCCAGCCTGGGTGACAGAGCGAGACTCCGTCTCAAAAACAAAGATGGCCCAAAGTGTCTTCACTGCTTTAAAGTGATTTTTCTATTTGACCCAATACCAGAGATGTTTGCAACCAATGTAAAGCTAATTAAAGCCAGGAATAAAATGACTCTGTTGAGTAACAACAATAACAAAAAAGTTTTAAGCTTAGAGGAATGTGTGCTTCCTAGTTTGATCAAGAATACAGAGGTTCCAGAATATCTGAAGCCAATATGACTCTTAAGTGGTGGGTGCTGTCATGGATCTGAATTTTCCCTCCAGTTTAAGAACAAAACAATACAAAACAGTGAATAGAATGTTAAGAATATGTGAGTTAATTGTATTTCAATTACCATAG
The DNA here is from genome assembly GCF_000001405.40 of Homo sapiens. NCBI lineage: Eukaryota > Metazoa > Chordata > Mammalia > Primates > Hominidae > Homo > Homo sapiens. The sequence continues at coordinate 71,605,633 of NC_000012.12, read as the reverse complement.
AATAACATGACGATTTTATGCAAGACTAATAAATTTTGAAGACTATCCAATCTATAAACAAATATGACTTTTCAAGGGCCATCTTCTATGAATTAAGTAAAATTTTAAATAAAACATGAAAACTATTTGCATAGCCTTTCTTAAAAAGTATATACATTTGCCTTTTGGGAATCTGAAAGCCTCAAGACTGATTATCAAGTCTGCTGAAATCAAAGGTAGGTTTATAATGTTTGGTTGATCAAGCAGCTTAAATCTTGGAAAAGTTCTTACCTAGCGAAAGTAAGCCATATGAAAGAGAATGATAGCCAACGGTGTAAAGGAGCTGAATCAATTAGGAAGAGTGATAGACTGGTGAGCTGTTTGCATTAGTGGACATAATCAGGGCATCTGCTGCCAAGGCCAAAACAAACACTTAACTTGGCACATCATACAGTGAAATTTATGAGATTGCCAGGAGATAGATTTGGCATTTCATACTGGTTGAAATGGAGCTACAAAGAAATAGTTTCAGGAAATTGAGAAGTGTGAACCAATGTGAGTGATGAAAAAGCGTGTATTTAAAAGATCTGGGTATTAGATTCAGCTCTACCATAAACTAGCTATGTAATTGTGACAGGCCATTTCACTGCCCCCGTCTCTTTTTCTGCATCAAAATGGGGAAATATGTGTACTTACCTCAGGGGTGTTGAGATCAAATAATAGGAATTACCCTTAAAAAAAAAAAAAAGTATTTTGAGTTTGGAATCGTGTTCCAAAATTTTGAAAGCAGAGATGCTACAAAATAATAGTTTGCTTCCTCTGGACCTAATTTCTTTTCTTTTTTTTTGTTTTTGTTTTTTTGTTTTGAGACAGGGTCTCTTACCCAGGTTGGAGTGCAATGGTGCAGTCATTGCTCACTGCAGCCCCGACCTCCTGGGCTCAAGTGATCCTCCCACCTCAGCCTCATGAGTAGCTGGGATCACAGGCACACAGTATCGTGCTTGGCTTTTTTTTTTTTTTTTGTAGAGACAGGGTTTCACTATATTGGCTAGGCTGGTCTTGAACTCCTGACCTCAAGCAGTCTACCTGCGTAGGCCTCCCAAAGTATTGGGATTACAGATGTGAGGCACTATGCCCAGCCCTGGACAGAATTTCATTGCTGTCACTTGATGAAGAGCATATAACTCTACCAATGCTCAAGCATGAATTAGTTGCTGTTTGTAAGAGAGACAACAGAAAATTGTAGTCTAGGCCAGGTACCGTGGCTCAGGCCTGTAATACCTGCACTTTGGGAGGCCAAGACAGGAGGATTGCTTGAGAGCAGCCTGGGCAACATAGCGAGACCATGTCATTATTAAAAAAAAAAAAAAAAAGTTGCTGTCTAAATTCAGTGGCTCATTCCTGGCATTACCAAAATAACAGATAAAAATATCAGTTAAGAGATGGTCTTGAGACAGGCGTGGTGGCTCATGCCTATAATCCTAGGACTTTGGGAGGCCAAGTTAGGAGGATCTCAAGTTTAAGAGTTTGAGACCATCCTGGGCAATATGGAGAGACCTCATCTCTTTAAAAACATGGTCTTTAGGTTTTAAAGTCAAAAGGAATCAAAATTTAGTCTGCTTCTGTTTTCAGTTCTGAGGATTCTCAGCATGTTGGCTGGATTCCCTTTGTGGTGAAATAGAGGATAAAAACTACCCCTTAGTTCAGTACTCAGAATTTAAGTGTAGAGAGTATCTTGATAATCCAAGCCACTTTCCACACTTTTTTGGAGTTGCCTATAACAGGACATGAGAATATTGACCAATTAAGTTTACTTATTTTGTAGGCAGCAGTCATAAAATGACCTAACCAGGCAAGAGGACTTGCATAGAGTTTGCATATAAGATAATCCTCCAGGAACATACTTTTAAGAGAAAAGAATTGCTGGATTTTTTAAACCACAATTTTATCACAGTTAGACCAAATTTGGCTGAAGCTGTGGCCCAGTGGTGAAAAATCACAGAATGCAGAACAAGGGGTCCATTGGTAGTGTTCACTTGGTGATTAATGCTGTTCTAAATAAAAGTAATATCTAATTTGGGGGTGGGGAGGAAAGGATGTGAGTCAAAATAGCCAGTTGTAAAATCCAAGGCTTGCAATTCAGTGTGAATGACCCTTTCTATATTAGGATTGACAGATGAAAATAGCAGTGGCTTAAAAGTTTAAGTAGGGTGGACCAGGGCTGACTGTATGATACTCCGCTGTAACAGAGACCTAGACACCTATCTGTTTGTCCTGTGTGACCTCCTTTCCCAAAAGGGGTGCTACCTATGGTTGTGTTAAGTCATGTCCTGTACAAGGATACATGGCCAAAAGACTGAAATAGCAGGGGATGAAATTAATCCCATGATCAACTCATCAAGCACCCGAAGGCACTCGTTGAGTCGGCATGGAGGAAGGGTGGCCTTTTTAAAATTCACACAAAGGGACCATTAAGAATCCAAGTTCTATGGGGAGGGTTGGTGTTTTTCTAAATTGCACAACAGCACCACGTGGGCTGGTGGTCCTGATGATTCTAGATGGCTGCTCCACACCCAAGCTTTTTTGTTCACATTGTATTTAGCAGGAAGGAAAAATGAAGGGAAGCATGACCCGCCTCGCTTCTTAGGAGGACTCAGAAGCTGAACATGCCACATTTGCTTTTGTCCGATTGTTCAGAACATAGACACATGGCCACTGCAGGGAGGCTGGGAAATGTAGTCTTTATTTCGAGTAGCTATGTGGACTACATAAATTCAAGTATGAAAGGGAATACGTATCTGAGGAACAACTAAATATCTGCCACACTACCATCAAGTGGAGTAAACAGACTATAAAGTGAAGTTAGTGGCTTCAACCTAGCTTGTTTAGAGGTCTAAAAAAGTTTTAAATAGTGAACCTCTAAAATCTCTTCTAGTTCTCTAATTCTACTCTATAATCTTGAGTTTGGAATAGGGAAGCTGAAAGCACATTTCCCAGACCTAGCTGGTCTGGAAACTTAATAAATGGTCATTTAATAACAACTAACACTTTGTTGAGATGTTAGTCTGTCACACCATTGTAAGTGCTCAAGGAATATTTATTTAAATTTTCACAACAACCCTATGAGATATTGCTGTAATCTTCATTTTACAAATGTAAACTGAGTCATGAGAAATTAACTTAGCCGGGTCACAAAGATAGTAAATGACAAACCCAGGAAGTTGACTTCCAAGTGCATGCCCTTAATTTGCAACCTAAAAATCCCCTAGAGTAAAATTGGTCCACTGAGAAGCAATCCTGAGAACTTTGAGGGAATTATTGAGAAAGAGGCGCTTTCTTTTTGTTACACAGCTACACTAAGTTAGGGGAATGTAAGCCTGGAACAGTGGGGTAGTTGCCTTGACACAGCACTGTTAAGAGCCCACTGGAAGTGAGGCCCAAGAGGAAAGCAGAGCCAAGAGGTGAGGAAAGACATATTCTTGGTAATAGCAGGATTCGTTGTGTCTGAAATCAGATAACCATGAATTCTTCAGGCATTCAAACTTTTTCATTCTTACTGACTACCTCTTCTGCCCATTTGAAAAACTGACCTGGCTCTGCACAGCATCTCACACCTGTAGTCCCAGCTACTCGGGAGGCTAAGGTGGGAGGATCACTTGAGCCCAGTTCAAGGAGGCAGTGTGCCATGATCACATCTGTAAATAGCCACCAAACTCTAGCCTGGGTAACATGAGACTTTGTCTCTAAGAAAAATTTAAAAACTAAAAATTGAGCTTCTGAGACTCAGTATAGGTTCTTGTCCTCTGAAAACACTAAATTTACACATTTGTGGGTGTATGCCTGCAGAATGTAACATCACTGATTAAGTCATTGGACAATGAGGACAAAAGATGGTATGAGTTCTTACAATTGTATGAATTGTGATCTAAGTTGAGAGGTATGAAAGCAAGAGAATTGCATGTTTAGATAGGTAGGGGGTAGGGCTGAGAAGTTTCAGGAGGGAAATAAATATAGCCATAGTGCTTAAATTCTTTTTGGATTTTCCTTGGATAGAAAACTTGGCTGTATAATCAGCAGAAAGTTCACTTAACTCTTAAGTCAACATTTCTTCATTTTTAAGATGGGATTACTACTAGTGCTTATTTCACTTGGAGTTGTCAGGATAAAATAAGAGCATACTAGTAAAGGGCTTAGCCATAAGAGATGTGAGATAGTAGAAGCTATTTGAGGATAGAAAGCTTGGAAATGTGGGTTAGGGTAGTGTTTCATAATAATAAGAAAAGGATGGACAGGTGCAGTGACTCATGCCTGTAAATCTCAGCACTTTGGGAGGCTGAGGTGGGCAGATCACTTGAGATCAGGAGTTCGAGACCAGCCTGACCAACATGGTGAACTGTAACTCCTTGCTTACTCACAGGAAGATCGTATTAGTTATCTATTGCTGCATAACTTGTCTCTACTAAAAATACAAAAATTAGCCGGGCATGGCAGCTTGCGCCTGTAGTCCCACCTACTCAGGAGGGTGAGGTGGGAGAATTGCTTGAACCCAGGAGGCGGAAATTGAAGTGAGCCGAGATTGTGACACTACAGTCCAGCCTGAGTGACAGAGCAAGACTCTGTCAAAAAATAAAAAAAAGGAAAAAAACGACTTATTAGTGGTGGGGTCTCATTGCTTGTTAAAACTTCACTAGAGGAAGAAGAACAAGTAGAGACAAAAAGTGGAATAATTGAGTTTGAACCTTTATTTGGCAAAAGAAAGTTACAATAAAGGTTTGGAAACTAGTATTGATGGATGGGATGGCACTTGCAGAGAGATGAAAAGAAAATACGGCTTTTTCAGTTGGAGCTTCCCTGGTGTAGGGAATGTGCTAAAAAGATTATAGTGATCTAAGCCTTTGCCGCTCAGTGTGGTTCTGGATCTACAGCATCAGGGTCATCTGGAAGCTTGTTAGAAATGCAGAGTCTCAGGCCCTACCCAGACCCACTGAATCAGAATCTGCATTTTAATAAGATCCCAAGGTGATCTCATGCACATTAAAATTTGAGAAGCACTGCTCCAGGCCAGAGAGAAATGCATGGATTTCCATTGTTTAAAATACAAAAGAATAAAGAAATGTGGTCCCAAATCACTGGGACATCTGTCTTAATGTCTGTGATACAGTAGCAACAAGTTACATAGTTTTCTTTAGGCTTACTGTTCCATTATGCGGTGTGTGCCTGCCAGGTTTCAGAAACACAAAACTAACCACTAAATTTCATCCTTACCAATGCTCTTTACTCCAAAACTGATGCTAAGGAATACTTCTGGCTTCCCAAGTTTTAAATATTGAAGTGCTCTTGAAATTTAAGTGAACTATAACTCCTTGCTTACTCACAGGAAGATTGTATTAGTTATCTATTGCTGCATAACTATCCCAAAACTTACCAACCTAAAGTAACAAACACATATCACAGTGTTGGTGCTTAGCTGCGTGATTTGGCTAAGGGTCACTTATGAAGTTGAATCAAGCTATAGGCTGGGGCTTCAGTCAGTCATCTGAGGCTCCACTGGGGCTGAAGGATCTATTTCCAAGCTTGCTCATACAGTTGTTTTCAGGCCTCAGTTTGTCACCATATAGATGTCACCGTATAAATGTCTCCCTAGGCTGCTTGAGTGGTTTCATGGCAGGACAACTAGCTTCCCTCAGACTTAGTGGGCTAAGAGAGAGAGAGAAAAAAACAGAAGTTTTGGTCTGATAACCTAATCCTGGAAATGACATATGTATTAATCCATTTTCACACTGCTATAAAGACCTGTCTGAGACAGGGTGATGTATAAAGGAAAGAGGTTTAATTGACTCACAGTTCAGCATGGTTGGGGAAGCCTCAGGAAACTTACAATCATGGCAGATGGAGAAGGGGAAGCAAGGCACCTTCTTCACAAGGCGACAGGAAGGAGAAGTGCTGAGCAAAGGAGGAAGAGCCCCTTATAAAAACATTAGATCTTGTGAAAACTCACTCCCACGAGAACAGCATGGAGGAAATGGCCCCCATGATTCAATTACCTCTACCTGATCTTCTCCTTGACATGGAATTATGGGGATTATGATTCAAGATGAGATTTGGGTGGGGACACAAAACCTAACCATATCAACATACTGTCACTTCTGCCATATGCTATTAGTCACACAGACCAAACCTACCTAATATAATATGGGAGGGGATTATACAATGGTGTGAATACCAGTGAGTGAAGATCACTGGTAGGTTGTCTTGGAGCCTGGCTACTACAGTGATGGGAAAAGCACTTTGCTTTGTGCAACCAGACTCTTCAATAGCTCCAGGTGCAGCTTATACAGCTGGGAGCCTCTTCAGTCTCTATGGAGAGGAGGGAGTGAAACAATGAGTGACTTGCAGATCTCACACCCATATTCACATTACTTCTAGGGCTACTGATCCAATCAGAAATGGATTTTAATCTTGCTTGGATGGGGGAAATAGGGGAGTATGAAAGCAAAGAATACTTATTCAGTTGCGACTGCCTTTACATTTCAAAAAAATTAATGAAGAGTAGTCTTATCAGTTCTTTAATTCATAATTGTATCAAAATTGGGGAAAGATGTTTTGCTGGAGAGTGGTCAAACTAACTCTTTGAAACAGGCCATATCTACTAGGCATACTGACTTTCCCATGTCAAAACTCATTTTTTTTTTTGTCTAGAGCCAAAGAAGCAATGAATGATGTGTATAACCAAATGCTGGGATAACTCCTTTTATCAATAGGCTTGCATCCATTTCTCTTTATCCTGATGCTTCTTAATCAGCTGTGTGCAGCTTTACTCTCTGCAATTCTCCATATTTAACCATGCACATATCCAGCCCAACACACTGTACATCGTATGGTCCATAAACTCTTAAAATTAGAAAAATAAATTGTATAGAAGAGTCGTCAATCTCCACTGAAATTTGGCTGGGATAGATAGCTCCAGTCATACATTAAAAATATTTAAATTTTCCTTCTATTACAAACGTATTCAGAGAAAAATCTCTGAATATTCCAGAGATTGTAGAGTGTAAAATCAGCTAAACAATCTTTATCTAATTGTAACAAAACGACATATCAGGAATTCTTATTTTGCCATTGGGAAATAAAGTTATGTTGGCAAATAAAATTATGTTAATCTGAAGAAATTACATTTGGTCCACTTTAGATCAAAGGCCCTCTGTACCCCAGAGGGCCAATTCTGCTCTTCTTAGGACAAAAGTCTTGGGTAAAAAGTACAAGTTTTTCTTTTTCTTTTTTGTGGGTCACCTCCTTGTTGTTGCTTCCAATAAACCTCTCAGTTGTTAGCAAGTTTTAACCAGAACATCAAGCAAGATCATTTTCTTACTATGAAATGGAGATGTAAAATTTGAGAAGTTAGATAAGTATCAGGTATACAGGAACAGCATATTCCTCCAATGAAAATAAAACCTTTCCTATAATTAATATAGCTCCATGACCTATATTACTTTTTTTATTTTTATAGTTAATTTGTGTCTTAGTTCATTCCAGATGCTATACCAAAAATACCATAAACTAGGTGACTTATAAACAACATTTATTTCTCACAGTTCTGGAGGTTGGGAAGTCCAAGCTGGCAGATTTGGTGTCTGCTAAGGGCCCACTCTTCATAGATGGTACCTTCTATCTGTGTTCTTATATGGTGGAAGGGCTGTCTATCTGGGGTCTCTTTTAAAAGAGCACTAATCCCATTGATGAGGGTTATGCCCTCATGACCTAATCATGTCCCTAAAGGCCCCACCTCCTAATTCCATGACCTCAGGGATAAGGATATAACACATGCATTTTGGAGGGACACAAACATGCAGCCAATAGCAATTGGAAAGTGAACTTTGCTGACAGATACAGTATAATATGATTTTATCAACTCCATTTTACTGATGAGCACTCTGAAGAAAGGGAACTAAAGAAACTTGCCAGGATCACACAACTTTTGAAAGTTGGAGTTGGGATTGGAACCCAGGTGTATTGGTTCATTTTATGTTGCTATAACAGAACACCACAGGCTGGGTAATTTATAAACAATGCAAGTTTATTGGGCTTATGGTTCTTGAGGCTGAGAAGTTCAAGATTGAGGGGCCACATCTAGTAAGGACTTTCTTTCTCTGTCATCCCGTGGCAGAAGGCAGAAGGGCAAGAAAGCACAAGAGTGTGAGAGAGAGCCCAGAAGGGGGCCAAAGTCATCCTTTTATTAGGAATTCACTCCCTTGATAAACAGCATTTATCTCTTCAAGAGGGAAGAGCCCTCATGATTTAATCACCGCTTAAAAATCCCACCTCTCAGGAGGGGGACAAGGGTTAAAAAACTAACTATTGGTTATTCTCCTCAGTACCTGGGTGATGGGATCAATTGTTCCCCAAACCTCAGCATCACACAGTATAACACAGGTAACAAACCTGCACATGTTCCCCCCTAAATCCAAAAAGAAAGTTGACATTTTTTTAAATGTATATATTTATAAAGCACAATGTAATGTTTTGTTATATGTTGACAATGTAGAATGACCAAATCAGGCTAATTAACAAAAAAGCCTTATCACAGTCTATCTTTAAATAATACACTACAACACCTATATTATAAGAACCCCATGGGGGGAGGGAGGAGGGATAGCATTAGGAGATATACCTAATGCTAAACGATGAGTTAATGGGTGCAGCACACAAGCATGGCACAAGTATACATATGTAACAAACCTGCATGTTGTGCACATGTACCCTAAAACCTAAAGTATAATAATAATAAAATTAAAAACAAACAAAAAAACAAAAAAATAACCCTATAGCAGCTTATTTGCATTTTTTCTTTGCCATCATTTGCACTATTATTCTCAAATATTTTACTTTTACATCTGTTCCAAACCTCAAAATACATTCTTAATATTTTTGCTTTAAATAATTATCTCTTTGCCAGATTTATTGAGTTATAATTGGTATGCAGAAAACTGCACATAATCAACATATACAATTAGGCGAGTTGGTGTACATTACCATCACTGCAATCCAGATAATAAATAAATCCATCATCTCATAAAAGAAAAAAAAACTCAACTCTCAACATTTGCATTGGGGATTAAATTTCCAAAACATAAACTTTGGAGGATATTCAGACCATGGCACCAGGCTAATTGGATTCAGCATCTGAATGCTCAGTCACTGTATTATATTACCCCTGAAGGTACCCACTCAATGAATGTTTACTGAATAGTTACATTTTTCTAAATGTGTGCTACATAAATTTTGTATAGACAAATGTAAAAAAAAATACAAAAAGATATTTACCCAATTCTATAAATATTTCTCCTAGTCAATGCTTTAGCCAACATTTTTACTCATTTTTTAAAAATATGAAATAAAATTTCACTACAACCCTTTACCACTACAACCCTTTACCCTGGACTCAGGATAACCACTTTTAATTTCCTATTCTCCCTTGCCCTAGGAATGATAGCTCAATTCTCTCTTAAGGTCTACTCCTGTAGTCAGTAAAATGGTTCTTAAACTTTAGCCTGCATCAGAATCACCTGGAGGCCATATGAAAACACAGATTGCTGGACTCCACTCCCAGAATTTCTGATGCAGTAAGACGGGAGTGATGCCTGTCATTTCTAACAAGTGTGCATTTCTAACAAGTTTGAAAATCACTAGTGTAGCTGTTAAAAGAAATGTCTCTGAGACCTGTCTCCCCTATTTACTACGTGAATGATCTTAGGCAAGTTAACAAATCTTTGTGCTATTGCTTAATCTACAAAATGGCAGTGATAACAAGACACATCTCATAGGCTTGTATCCTAATTAAGTGACATATTTTGCATAAAGCACCCAACATACCACCTGACATGGATCAAGTCCTTATAATAACTATTATGACAGGCTGGCTTTTCCAGACAAGCATCCACTTAAAATATACTTAATAATAAAATAATAGTTATTAGCAGTAAAAAGGTATTCTTCATTTTTTTGTTTGTTTGTTTGTTTTTGAGACAGTCTTGCTCTGTCACCAGGCTGGAGTGCAATGGTGTGATCGTGGCTTACTGCACCCTCAACTTCCTGGGCTCAAGCTATCCTCCTACCTCAGCCTCCTGAGTAGCTAGAACTATAGGCGTGTACCACCATGCCCAGCTAATTTTTACTGATTTTTGGTAGAGATGTGGGACTCATGTTGCCCAGGCTGGTCTTGATCTCCTGGGCTTAAGCATTCCTCCTGCCTCAGCCTCCCAAAATGCTGGGATTACAGCATGAGACACCACGCCCAGTTTATATGCCTCATTCTTGATACTTCCTTCTCTGTAGAGGGAGCTCCATTAATGTCACTATCCCTGCCTTTTGGTATATTCATTCACCGTCTTCTCCTAGGGGAGCAGGAATAATAGATTTTATTGGAGCATTTGGGAAAGGAATCTGGCCTGCTTGGGTTAGCCCCTTCCTCTTTTTTTAAAATTTGGAACGAGGCTGTCCACTTGGATCGTGAGTTCTGCAGCTCCAGGATTATAGGGCGTCTTGCCTCCCTGTGGGGAGGCTGTGGCCATCCAATGCTGCCTGTGACTGGGAAAAGAATATGACTAGCTCTGGAGAGCTCATTGCTGAGATATTTAAGGCACATTCTAAATATTAAGTTTATGATTAAGAAATGTGGCAGATTGATACATATCTGCCTTATTATTTTTTCTTGTTTCTCACTGTTTAGAACTCAGGCCAAGGGAAAGGATGCTATTTGTCAGAACCTTTCAAATCCAGTATGAGGTTTGAATCTTCAGCTATGTGGTATTTTTGTCTTGATAGATTATTGAGGTTTATAGAGGCTGTGTCCACAGATGAGTGTATGTTTTCATATAGACTACCCTGATCTTAAGCAAGTCTAAGATATTTGAAAGCTGAGAAAAAAACAGGGTATTTTGGTAACATGACATCACAGAGCCTTCTAGAGACCAAATCTCCCGCTCCTCCTGGTCCCAGGAAGATAACTCCAGAAGCTGGGAAACAGCTTTGTGAAGGTGGAATAAAACTGTTCTGTCTGCACTTGAGATCCTCCTCTGAGAGGACAGCCACACTTCTGGCTTATCACAGTCCCACAGGGTGAGCCTCATAGATTACACTGAAAGAACAAAACGTAATGAAGTCTAGGGGAGAAATCACACTCACTCCCTGATGTTTCCTTCCATAGGAGGGAGCTCTATTAGAGTAACACCCCTGGCAGCATGCCAGCCTCTTACTGATTTTTCCATAGGGAGGATACGTGACATATCTTATTAGAATTTAGAACTCTATTTTTTCTTCCTTCTGTTACTGTCCCCAACATGGTTACATTTGGCTCTGTTCTCCCGTGCTGTTATTTTATAGAAGCACACTTCCGTGTGGGGAGGTCTGTGGTGTCTGATGTTCTCTGTGTCTCAGTGGACAAATCTGCGGAATTCTCACATTAATTATTAGGAAGCTTACTTGCCGGTGGATAAAAACCCTGCCATCTTCGATCAGCTTTATTGGTAATGAAGGTGATGTTTTACCTCTGTTGCTTTTCTGTTTGTCCCATTTTTAATAGGTTTGGGGCAAAGGCATAGAAAAGAGGTTCTATTTATTGTGCCAATCCAAACTCTAGATAATGGCTACACCTTTATTGAGCATGTATGGTATACTAAACACTTTGATATTAATAATTCCTCAGTAAGGAGTAAATAAGCTGTGAGGAAATAAGCCATTATTATTATTATTATTCTCATTTTATAAACAAAGAAATGACCACTTAGAGGAATTAAGTAATATGCCTAAGGTTATCCAGGTGGTAAATGGTGGTGCTGGCACTCAAGCCTAGGGGTGTCTGATCCCAGAACCCTTGCAGTTATTTCTACCGCTCTCTTTGTCCAAATTTCTTACTTGAAGACAGAAAGGAAGTTTTTAAAAATAGAGTTTTAGGTTGTGAACCCCAAAAATCTGAGACAGGTCTCAGTTAATTTAGAAAGTTTATTTTGCCAAGGTTGAGGACACGTGCCCATGGCATAGCCTCAGGAGGTCCTGATGACACGTGCCCAAGGTGGTCAGGGCACAGTTTGGTTTTATGCATTTTAGGGAGATATGAGACATCAATCAACATATGTAAGATGTACATTGGTTCCGTCCAGAAAGGTGGGACAACTCAAGCAGGGAGGGGACTTCCAGGTCACAGGTAAGTGAGAGACAAATGGTTGCATTCTTTCAAGTTTCTGATTATCCTTTCCAGAGGAGGCAATCAGATATGCATTTCAGTGAGCAGAGGGATGACTTTGAGTAGAATGGGAGGGAGGTTTGCTCTAAGCAGTTCCCAGCTTGACTGTTCCCTTTAGCTTAGTGATTTTGGGGTACCAAGATTTCCAAGATTTATTTATTTATGTATTTATTATTTACTTTTCTTTTCACAAGGTAAAAAATTCCATCTGTATGTACTGTATGTATTGTATGTAACTGCCTACTTTGTTTTGGATGTTGTATAAATATATCTAATGTAATAAGCAGAGTAAATGACCATAGAAAATGAGGGATAGAATGATGATTCATGGAAGGGTTAGTGGGTTCCTGCTGTATTTCCCCTGTGGCAATGGAAACTGTACCTGAGCTGGGAAAGAGAGGCTAAGAAGATCTTACCCAGACGTTTAGGAAAGACAATACAGCTATACTTACAAACGTTTTGGACAGTCGGGGGTGGGTATTTTGTTGGAGAGTGGTTTTTTTGTGAGGCACAATAACAACTATAGAAAGTTCTTCAAACTAGTTCAAGTATAAAAGAGGTTTCTTGAAATAACACAACAGGCAAATTCCTAGACACCTAAAAATAGGACCAAAAAACATGACCAAGCCACCCAGGGAATGGAACTGTCTAGAAACTTTATCATTCATGGAGCTGCTTGGCATTTTCAACTCCCTTTTTCTTGCTACCCCAGCCTTTTGTTTTTCTCACTATAGTGGCCATTTCTGCTTCTCAAAACTTAAATTTACACATAATTTTGGCTTCTCATGGTGTCATTGCCAGCCAAAATTCTGTTTGGTCTTTCAGTTCAAGCACCTTCCCCTCATGATCTGACTGAGTTAGTGTCTCCCAGTGTCCCTAATTTTCAATTCTTGGAAAAAAGAATCTGATTGCTCTGGCTTAGGTCAATTCCACAGAGGATGTGTTAGGGGTTGTGGCTGGAAAACAACTGCAAATATGGGGTCATGGGCTGGATTAGTACCCCCAATCTGCCTCCCTTAGTAAGGGAAATCAAAATTAGTCTGTCTTGGTCCCTTGGGTTGCTATAACAGAATGGCATCAATTGGATGGCTTATAAACAACAGAAATTTATTTCTCACAGTTTTGGAGGTTTGGAAGTCCAAGATCCAGGAGTCAGCAGATTCAGTATTCAGTGAAGGCTTACTTCTTCATTCATAGACACCATCTTTTAAATGTGTGCTCACATGGTAGAAGGGCTGAGGGTGCTCTCTGGGGTCCCTTTTTATAAGGGAACTAATCCCATTCTTGAGGTTTCTGTCCTTACAACCTAATCACCCTCCAAAAGCCCCATCTTTAAATGCCATTGCACTGGGGATTAGGCTTCAACATATGAATTTGGGGTGGGGGACATAAAACATTCTGTCTATAGTGAGTCATATGTACAGAACAGGCCAATAAAGAGCCTGCTGCCCCTAGAAGCTTCCAAAAGATCCTTGCCCATGGTCTCCTGGAGAGAAAAGTGAAAGTTTAGCTAATCAGGGTTTTGCCATGTGACCCTGACCTCCTGCAATCACCTACCTGTAGTCTGAGCAGTGACTTCTACGAACCTCCAGCTGGCCCAGCCCCCAGGGCTCTGTCCCACAGGGACAAACAATGAGCAACCAGATTCTTTCCCTGTTAGAGAAGCAGAAGATTCGAATTGAGGCAAGGCAATTAGTAGGAAGTGCATGCCCTCAGGGAAAACCTTGTAGGGGAAGTGTTGGGGAAATGGGCTGAAGTAAACAAATAAGCACCAGCAAATTAAGTTATGCCATAGAGAAAAGTTACAGAATTTAGACAATTGGGCTGGGTGGAGTGGCTCACACCTGTAATCTCAGCACTTTGGGAGGCCAAGGCCAGGGGAGCGCTTGAGCCCAGGAGTTTGAGCCCAGGAGCTCGAGACCAGCGTGGGCACTGGGCAACATGGCAAAACTCTATCTCTACGAAAGAAAAGAATACAGAATAGAGATGATCAATTGGAAGCAACAGAAGTGTTTGAAACAAAGACAAAGAAAAACTGGGTCACCATACTGGTGAGAAATCCATAAGGTGAAGGGGACAATAAGAACACTCTATCCCAGAGCTGGGTTAAAGCCTTCCACTTCTTATTTATTTATTTTGAGACGGGGTCTTACTCCCTCACCCAGGATAGAGTGCAGTGGTATGATCTTGGCTCACTGCAACTGTCAAAGCTGTTGGAACCACAGCAACTCCGTCTCGACTAGGAGCTGGGTAAAATGAGGCTGAAACCTACTGGGCTGCATTCCCAGATGGTTAAGGCATTGTTAAGTCACAGACGAGATGGGAGGTTGGCACAAAACACAGGTCATAAAGACCTTGCTGATAAAACAGCTTGCAGTAAAGAAGCCGGCTAAAATCCACCAAGACCAAGATGGCGACAAGAGTGATCTCTGGTTGTCCTCACTGCTACACTCCTGCCAGCACCATGACAATTTACAAATACCATGGCAATGCCAGGAAGTTACCCTATATGGTCTAAAAAGGGGAGGTATTAATAATATACTCCTTGTTTGGCATATTATCAAGCAATAACCATAAAAATGAGCAACCAGCAGCCATTGGGGCTGCTCTGTCCATGGAGTAGCCATTCTTTTATTTCTTTCCTCTTTTTTTTTTTTTTTTTGAGACAGAGTCTTACTCTGTTGCCCAACCTGGAGTGCAATGGCACCATCTCGGCTCACTGCAACCTCCACTTCCTGGGTTCAAGCTATTCTCCTGCCTCAGCCTCCTGAGTAGCTGGAATTACAGGCACATGCCACCACACTTGGCTAGTTTTTTGTATTTTTAGTAGAGACAAGGTTCACCATATTGACCACGCTGGTCTCAAACTCTCGACCTCAGGTGATCTTCCCGCCTCGGCTTCCCAAAGTGCTGGAATTACAGGCGTGAACCACCGTGCCCAGCCAGATTCCTGTTTTTCTTATTTCCACATGTGTCCTCCCAATAACTCTCTACTCTCCATCATGACTTATGATCAAAAGAGGCTAACTAACCACAGTCATTAAATATTTCACCTCAGTAATCTAATATTTACAGCCTTGGATCAAAAATGATATGAAGGAAGAAGGAAGGCAGGCAGCAAATAGAGTGACAGGTAGACATCTGAGGACTGTCAGCAGCTAAAGAGACAATCTGATGTGTGATGTCTTAACTTTGCCATCTATTGCTCTTTGGTGATGGTATTTCTGTGATTTGGGACTGTGGCTCTGGCTTACTTGACTTTTATCTGTATTTCTCACTACGTGGGGAGAGAGAGCAGTAGAAAGAACAGACATCAAACCTGCTAGAACCTTAAAGAGTTGATATTGTTTCATCAGTAGTTTGAGGGCAAAGATCAGAGTCAGTCAGGAGCTGAAAAAATGAAGGGGCTTTTCTAGTGTTCCACAGCAGGTCTGTAACAAGTGGGCTTAAATCTCACGTCTTTATCCTTCACCATGCTGAATGGACTGAGAAATGCCCACCCACTTGTGACACAGAACTATATACCCTCTCGTTTCAGGATGTTGATATAAGGTCTCATTGCCTTCCTCAGCAATCTTCTGAATCTGGCATTCCTTCTGAGAAGACTAACAAGCATTCATCCAAAATGTTCGTCATTGGAAAGTTAGCTGTAATTTGATCTAACTTCTCACTCAATATGATAGTTTTTTTTTGGTATACAAGAGACCTGATGGAATCTTTCTTAGGTAAGCCAAATCTGTCTCTCTGAATCGTTCACCAGTTGGTTCTTGTTCTCTTAAAGAGTAAGTCAGCTTACTCTATGACTGTTTTTCAGTGCTATTAAGCGAAACTTGGGTTTTAGTCCTAGTTCCTCATCTGTGACCTTCGCAAGTCACTTATCCTTCTGACTCTATATTTTCATTGGCAAAATGACAAGGCCTGCTTTGCTCATTCCATAAGGCTGTCAAAAGAGGGGGAAACACAGGATCCATTAATTAAATACGTACTATTCAATGCTTTTCAGGTAGTGTGATGGTAACTTTATATACACTGAGTTATTAGTATTTCCAATCCTATGAGGCTGGTGGTGTGATGCCCATTTTTTTGAGGAGAAATTTGAGGCTGAAAAAAATTAAATACCTTGTCCAAGGATTACACAGATAGTAACAGAAGTAGGATTTGAACCCAGGTCTGTCTGGCAGTTGAGCTTAATCATTTTACTATTTGGCCTACTATAGGCTCGTACTTAAGAAAGCACTTAGTAAATTTCAATTATTCAAATATTTTAAATATTTTCCTTTAGCCTGCTTTTCTCCAGGTGACACATTCTCCATTTTTTAGACTATTATTTGATAGGATATCATTTCCCTATTCCACTCACTGTTTCATTCACTATTCTCATGGAGTAGCATGTTTTCAACATTCCCATAAAGTACTGTCTCTAGAGTGGAAAGTCATGTCCACAATGAGTATGAACCTGTATTCCATAATGCTTCTCCAGCCTATCACATGCATTTTCTGCCCGTTTCTGAAGTTTTATCATCCTACCCAATAGGCTTCAGGAACTTGTGTATGAGATGAACGAGTCAGTGTAGAATCTGAGTTCAACATCTTTAGAAATGTTCATAAGGAGGACATCGAAATGGGGATATGGCTACACAGCCCCTCCCCACTTCACTTGCAAGGAAAAGTGACCATAACCTAATTGTAGTTAAGGGTCTCTGTGGCCTGAGAGAGAAAATAGTTAGTGTTTAGTGGCCCATAGGAAGATAGTCTCTTTTATCTGCATAGTGGAACTGTAAAATCAAATCTCCAGTACTGAAGAGCATGAATGGAACCAGTAGGGTCACAGCAATCCCATCTATTTATCTAGGACTTCTTTCTCATCAGATGGGCCTCTGAACTAAATGTGATAAGATTAACAAAAGAAGCAGGACATTGTTACTTTTTCATATGTTAGAGTTTTTCTGGTTCTAAATGAAGAAGGTGTTGCTAATTTTATTTCCTTTTACTGCTTTATTGTTATATTTTTAGCCAAAACTAAATGAGTAGATGTTTTTTATTTCATATAAGAATGATTTTCTCTTCTGTAACAGTTGAAAAAAAATGATGTGCAGTAACAGCCACCTAATATATTTTTCTATTAAAATGTCCCTGAAAATAGTTATAGGTGACATATGAAGAGAGGGACTAGAAATGATGAGTTTTTTGATGTAACTGGTTAAATTCAAAAGCAAAGGTAGCTCCATTGTGAGCATAAGGTCTTAGCCTAAAAGGTGGCTTTCCAGAGAGGCCTTTCCGGAGCTCCATTTCTAAAGCACCACACTAATTATTCCCAATAGACTATTTAAAATAGCTTCATTTCCTTCATTTATGTTTCTATCGGATATTTCCATGTTTATATTTGTTTACTGTCTATCTCCCCTCCGCTGGAATGCGAATTCCAGACCTTGTTTTGTTATCCGCAGTGCATAGAATACAGCACATAATGGTGCAGAATACTTGTTGAATGAATGAACCTGTTTTTGGAAACAAAATTGTTACTGCCTTACTTTAAGCTAGTTCACAGTTTATGGTTTTTACAAATTTGTTCCATGGTTTGTTCTTTACTGTTGTTCAATGTCTGAACAGTACATCTTTCCCCTTCTCACTGTAGATTTATTTATTTGTGGATGTAATTCAAGTTCTTTCTGATTATGCTATATTAGAGTGGAGAACATTTATCAGATGGCAGTGTTTTGTGTAAGGTGTATTATAACTAGTGTTTTGTCAATAAAATAATAAAGCCTGTGGATTTATCTAAAGAAATAAGTTGGAGTGAATTTAAGTGTCTTTTTTTTTTTTAATTACATTACTGACTTGTGTTTTCTTGAGCGGGAGACAAAGGGGCTGCCAGGACTTGTTCCTGACTTTGGGCAAGTATATTGAAAAGAAAGAATGAGATGCATTCCTCTAGAGGCGACTTTTATATCTGCTGCCTGGGTTAAGAGGTGGGAGAGTAAGAGGAGTGAGCTCTTGTTTCAGCTGAAGATAAGCCAAGCCAAGCATGGACTGCACAAAAGAGGATCCCATTTGATGCCTGTTAATTAGGTTTGGGCATGTGGTTAAGTCTGATGGGTAGGTGGAAAACTCAGTGCCAGGTGCCCTGTGGGTGCTCTGTAAACGTGTTAATTTTAGCAATAATGCTGTGCCTCCTACTAGTACTTGATGGTTTCATTTTGCAATCCATGCAAGGAGAGCAGGAATCACCACTGGAGCTGGTAGGGTCTGGCACAGGTGTCTAGAAAAATAATTTCATTTCTCATGTTTTGGGGGATGGGGACCGAAGGGGAACAGTGTGTTTCTTTGTGCCCTGGGAATTGCATGTCCTCATGTTTTGGCCTTGACATAATCATCAAATGAATTATTTAACAAGTACATGAGTTTTTAAACTCATGTTTAAACTCATGTCCATGTTAAATAATTTAAGGTTGATTTGTTATTCATATATTTCTTTCTAATTGTGAGGATTTTTCTTATATTGCAAAAGAAGTTTGAGACCAATAAAAGTTCTAGCTTATAAAATCCAAACTATCATAACCTTCACAAAAGTCAGGACAAAATGGCTTATCAATCATAAACAATTCAGGAGTTGGTAATGATATTTTGATTCGTTTTGTGAAAGATTGCTTTTTTTATGATAAGTGCAATATATTTAGAGTATTAAGTACAAATATTAATACTTAAATAGCAGGCCGGGCGCGGTGGCTCACGCCTGTAATCCCAGCACTTTGGGAGGCCGAGGCGGGCGGATCACGAGGTCAGGAGATCGAGACCATCCCGGCTAAAACGGTGAAACCCCGTCTCTACTAAAAATACAAAAAATTAGCCGGGCGTAGTGGCAGGCGCCTGTAGTCCCAGCTACTTGGGAGGCTGAGGCAGGAGAATGGCGTGAACCCGGGAGGCGGAGCTTGCAGTGAGCCGAGATCCCGCCACTGCACTCCAGCCTGGGCGACAGAGCGAGACTCCGTCTCAAAAAAAAAAAAAAAAAAAATACTTAAATAGCAAAGGTACTTATACTCCAAAACTTAAAAACATTTAGGAGACTATATATCTGCCTGTGGGCTCAATAAATAGACTTGAAAATATTTTGTTTCATAGTCACACATTTTATTACAAATTTATTTTTTACCCAATAGAAAAGCAAATTTGGAATCTATTTACAAGTACTATATATTTACATATATACAGTTAATGAATTTAAAGAAAATGGGCAGAGAAACACAATATAAATCAAAGAATATGCCACTGTACAAGGTTTATTATCATTATCATGGTCCTTAATGTTACTGAACCTTTACTATAGTAATAAATACAGTTCTATATTTACACATCTTATAAAACATCTCATAAATGTATTTTTTCAAATCCAAGTTAAAACATCTGATCAAAATAAACATGCTTATATAAAAATAAATCTACCTAACAGCCATTTGGTTTGGATGTATTGAAGCTAATATAGGATAATAGAAGGTAAGAATTAATACTTTGACTTTTCTTATTTAATAACTTGCTTCTTAAAATACCTAACACAGTATTAATATGGAATAAGCAGAGAAGTAATGTTCCTAACATCAAGTGGGTTATCCAGAGAGAACACAGCTAAAACCAAGCTAAATAAACAGGATAATACGTTACTGAGTCTCTTGAGTCCAAAGTGGTGTCAGATATTGGGTTTGCCAGAGCTACTAGAGATACATGTGTAAGAAGTTGTATCAGTGGACTTAATTTATGTAATGTGCACATTTGATCATTAAGATGCACATCAGTTTGAATCAACTGATAAAACTTATTGCAAAAATTCTTTACTAACCCAGAAAAAAAATCCCAGATTGCTTACTTTCTTTTCCAGGTATGTTCATTGCTGGCAGTGGAATTCCCTTCTGAGCTTTGGGCACCAAGGAGTTAAAAACAAATCAGATAAGACATACGTCACCTGTGCATGATTGCCTTAGTAACAATTTAAGAATTTTGGTCAGTTTTTCTTTCAAAATACTTGTAAGCAGTTTTATCCCATGAGGGTGGAACCATCTAGTGCTGATACATAAAACCTGGTATCTCTAAAAATGATCTCAATATGAGTGAGTTAACAATACCTTACATTATCCATCTAAGGGATTTGTGCCTTAGAAGGATTCTTTCTGAGGAAAGGCAAAGGAGGACTCAAACATCTTCACATGGTCATTAGAATGAAATCCCATGGATCACAGCCTCTACCTAGCAATGTAGGTCATTGAAAACCCTTATTTTCCTAATTCCCCCAACAACCTCTTGAGTTTGTGGGTTTAAATAAACCCATTTGGAAAGCAAGTGGGTTCTCCCTCCTCCCAAAATGATTACATTGGTGAGTTTAAAGAGAATGCAATTCAAATCATGGAGAATCTTTTCTAAAGAAAATTTCAATCTGCTTTTTTGATCTGGGCTCACTTAAATAGTGTGATCGATCTATCCCTTAGCTGAACAAATTATACAAAGCAGCATTTAGACTTATATTCACTCTCAAGTATCAAGAGGTTTTCAGCCTTTTCTTACTAACTGAGAGATTCTTTTTTGGTTTTTAAACCGAGTTTCACCTCAGCTCTTCTTATTAATTACTGCTCTGATATACTCAATCTCACATTTTCAGGTTCTCAACCTTTGAAAACATTTTCCTTCACATATTAATTAGAGACATGGGACAAATGCCACAGAGGAAAGATGGCAGCTCTCAGTCACTGGATAAGCTGGTGATGGCACGGAACTGGGAGGCAGGTCATAAGTGATGCTGGAGCTGGTAAAGGTTA
The DNA here is from genome assembly GCF_000001405.40 of Homo sapiens. Lineage (NCBI taxonomy): Eukaryota > Metazoa > Chordata > Mammalia > Primates > Hominidae > Homo > Homo sapiens. Next base: position 71,584,615 of record NC_000012.12, on the reverse strand, counting down.
CCAAGGCTTGAGTTGAGTCACAGGACTGTTTTTCGACATCATCAGAGTTAATTGACATCAAGCTTGGGTGTTTTGATCTTGTCCAGACGTAGGTTTGCTTTCTCAGGCTCACCAGATCCTCCTTAAAGTGAGGATTGAACAAGATGTAGAGAAGGGGATTGAGACATGCAGGAAGTGGGACTACCACCAGAAGGATAAACTTAATTACTTCAGGACTGATAAATGTAAGGTTTATTAAAGAGGAGAAGGACAAGAAAGCCACAGGGCAGTTTAGGATGCAGTTGGTGAAGAGCAACAGGGCAATGTGTTTTACCATAGAGCAGTCCCAAATATTCTCCAGGTCTCCCTTGTCCAAATTGCAGTAGAGCTTGGTGTAGGCAATGGTCATCATGAGGAAGCAAAGGGAATTGAGCAAGATGAGAGCGACCATGTAGCCCATGGTGCTGGGCTCCCCAAAAGGCAAAGGCAGGCAGAGAGGGGAGGCGCCATACTTGCTGCCACCCAGCAGGGGAACTGCGGCCATGGTCAAGGCCAGCAGGGCACAGAGCAAAATGATTACTTTCAGGCTAGAAAATGGAGCTTTCGTTTCAAATTTTGCAGAATATTTCACAGAGAACCCACGCTCCAGGGCTGCCAGAGTAAGCAGGAAAACAGATGATTCTGAAGCAAAAATGGACAAAAAACCAATGACATGGCAACCAACCCCATTCTCCCACCAGGCACCATGTCGTGCAAAGCTGCCAAAAGTGAACGCATCCACACCAGCCAGCACGGCACTGGAGACTCCCGTGAGCATGTTCACTGCTGCGATGACCCCAATTAACAGTTTAATGGGGGAAATGTACAGAGGGGATCTGAAAACTGTTGAAGTCACCAAAGCATTACAAGTAAGTGCCAGAACTGCTATGGTCCACACTCCAATTCTGATCAGCCAGCCATCAAGCAGGTGTTCACAGGGTTTGAAGGGGCCTAGAAGTCCAAGGAAGGCAAAGATTGAGTATCAAATTAGGGTTTACAACTTTTGCTGAATTACCCTTTTGTCTCTTTATTTAGGATGCCAAGAGATAATGGTCAAAAACAGCCTAATAACACACAGTGCCCATGTGCATGCTCCACTATCTCAAGCCACTGTCACCCTGGATCTTCTGCAGCACTGGCTGGGTGAGTACACCCGGTGCTCCTGTTCCAGGGTATTGATGGAGAAATGAGAATGGAGAATTTCGATCACTTAATTGAAGTCTCTAAGATACAGCTGTGTTGGAGCCAGGTAAAAAGCCAGATCTCCTGGACTTTTCATTATATAAGTTTTCAGAATATTTCCATAAGTTTCCATAGGCAGACAAGGAGAATCCTAGGGAAATACTCCGTAATATTATGAATGTGAATTTCATGAAAATCTCATCTTAGTTTTAGATTAAAATTTGAGGTTAGGGAGCAAGGGACAATCTATTCGTTAAAAATAAAATATCAACTCTTCCTAGCTATCTTTTTTTCAACTGGCTCATCCTGTTTTTTGGAATGAGACAAACTATTAAGAATTCAACTTCACTTTCCTCCCCTCCCTTCCCATCTCTTCCCCTCCCCTTCCTCTTTCCTTCCCTTCCCTTCCCTCCCCTCCCTTCCCTTCCCCTTCTCCTTCCTTCCTTCCTTTCTTCCTTCCTTCCTTCCTTCCTCTTATCTGTACAAACTATTATTTGCTTTTACCAAATAGTTATTTATAAGAAAAACCTAAGTCACTTTCAAATGTCGGTGATTACACAAAACAAGATTATAGCATACTATTTCAGGGTAAATTGCTAATATCATTTTAAAAATTACATATGCCTCTAACAACATACTTGATTCTTTCGTTTACATTAAGTTAAATCAAAAGTCCTCCCACCTCAATCCTATTGGCAAGTGAAAAACAACTCCAGGGAATGAACATTTGTATTTGACAGGCCACTATGGGGAGGGTTACTGATGAGCTGCAAAGTTGGCACAGATTCGGCTTTTAAAGTATAGCTGTATTGTTTTTCATGGACTCAGAATCAGTGGTGGATACTGCCGTTGAGGAATTTTTGATGCCTTTCTCACCTGGGGAAGGTGAACACTGCACTGAATGAAGGGCTTTCAGGTCTTCCTCAAAGTCAAGCAGGAAATCTTCAAGGTCACGTTCATCTGCAGCACAAGAAGTCCTGGAATGATTAGTTCTGACTCTCTTTTCAAGGGACCAAATCCCAGAGTGGAGAGTCCTGGGTTATTCTGGAGACATGAACTGTCACAAATTCCTTGTGCTCTAGCTTTCTTGCAAGTTATTATAAAGTTGCCTTTGGATGTTTGACTCAAGCTGCTATGACATACTATTCTAGTACAACTGGGGGTGAGGGAGAGTGACCCAAGACGCCGGGTGTAACATCTAAACTCTCATTCTGCTCGTGTTCCCTGCAGCTCATGATGTCCCCACATTGCAGAGCTAAATTAGAGGAGGCTATGGGCCTCTTCGTTCAGAGTAGGAACCGCTTTATCCAAATTTCTAACACTATAAAAGCTATACTGCAAATGTTCTAGGCTGTGTTCTCTGAACACCAGAGAATCAGACACAGTAAGTTTCAGTCTTCCCTGGGGAATTCTGTGTAACAGAGGACAAAACAAATAACTACTTGGTGCTTGGTTTAGCTATCCATGAAATAGGAGTTTTGTGATCTAACATATTTCCCCAAAGATACAGATTTAATTGGTCTCATGTGGGAATTGGGGACCAATATTTTTTAAAAGTTGCTATGTGAGTGTAATATGTGGTCCAGGGTTGAGAATCACTGCCTTTGAAAATAAACTCCATGAATGACCTTCTCTCTGTGTTGTTCATTGTGTACTTTCAAGGCCTAGAACAGTGCCTGGCACAAAGTAGGCTCTCTAATAACTTTTTGCTTGTGTTTTTATGTTTTGAGTGAATAATTTTGGAGAGAAATTAGAGTGGGTGAGGCAGGAAGAGCAAAAACTGAAGCAAGAACAAGAACAAGACACATGCTGTGGCCTAAAACAAAAAAGGCAAGGACCAAGATATCAGTTCCTTAAACAGATACACATGCAGGAAAAACTGGTAAGGTTATCTGCAGACAGACTGAATCATACTTGCTTTGGAATCAACAAATCATTAAGGCCCAAAGCATGAGAAGCCATCCTTCTGTTTAGTCTGTTTAGACTTTGTGCAAACTCGCAGGGTTGGCAGGGAAGGCAGGGGGTGGTGCCCAAAGCACCTCCTCATTACCACAGGTGTGGTTTGAGAGGCATTGTTGTCTGTTTAGGTAACGTCTTAATTCAAGGAAAGCCAAGCTTTACAGACATTATCTCATTTCACCTTCCAGACAGATACCCCGGGGTGGGGTAGGTGAGGAGAATGATTTAGAATTAGTTGGACAAAAAGCAGGATTCTTTAGCCCTTCTGCTGAAATATGAAGGAATCTAAAATGTTTATATCTTTCAATCCTTCCAGGCCATAAGAATGAAAATGGATTTTGTCTTCTGGAGAAAAAGTTTCTGAAGTACGTATGAAAAAGACATCCTCAGAAACAGACCCTTTAAAAAGCTGATGGAAACATCATGTCAGTAATCACCCCTGAGGACAGTATATGCTAAGGGGGAATCTAATTATACATATAAATATAAGAATTCACCTACAGAACAGATGAAATTTTAGGATAAATCCTGAGCTAGTTTTCTCTTTCTCAAGTAGTCTTTAAAAAGTGGGATTTATTCACAATTTGCTGAGGTACAAGGACTTGTCTGAAGTTCAGATAATCTGTTTGATAATTTTTTTTCCTTTTTTTTTGAGACAGTCTTGCTCTGTTGCCCAGGCTGGAGTGCAGTGGCGTGATCTCAGCTCAGCTTGCTTTGGAATCAACCTGCCTCCCGGGTTGAAGCGATTCTCATACCTCAGCCTCCCAAGTACCTGGGATTACTGGCATGTGCCACCATGCCTGGCTACTTTTTTGTATTTTTAGCAGAGATAGGGGTTTCACCATGTTGGCCAGGCTGGTCTTGAACTGCTGACCTCAAGTGATCCATCTGCCTCGGCCTCCCAAACTGTTGGGATTACAGGTGTGTGCCACCACACCCGGCCTGTTCGATGACTTTTCATCAAACATAATTCATTTCCATGTGTTCCACTGAACACAACACAATTTCATTACCATGGCATAGCAAGTCCTACCTTGAGCCTGAAACATTCCAGCATCTTTCTTATGAAGGTCGTCCATACTGCTGTTGTCACCTTTATTCCATTGATTAGAAATCTTATAGGCATTCTCACACACTCCAAATGCACAGCACTGGTAAGCATAAGGCATTTCTATAACCCTTTAAATGAACAAAACCCAAACAAAAAACACTTAAAGAAACGGATAATTAAATATAGTGTTCATGTTCTTTCACCCAATTATTCTACCTTTGGATTTTAGCCTAAATAAATAATCCAAAGTATAAGTTATGCACATAAAGGTGTTCATTACAGTGCTATTTATAAAAACAATGAAGTTATTAAAAATGATCACTATGAAATGTTAATTGCTGAAGCTGAGTGATGCAACTTCCATTACTCAAATGATGGAAAATTTCCAAAATAAAAAGGTTAAAAAAAAGGCTGCTAAGAAAAATTGTAGCAACATGAAAAAGTGCTTATGGCAGAATAAGTGACTACAATATGACATATATTTCTATGCACATTTTGAGTCTAACAATAAAAAATGCACTGGAAACAAAGCTTGGAAAGAAGTAACTTAACCATGTTGTTTAGAGTGGCATTTTTAAGATTTTTGTTCCTGGATGCTTAATAGAGACTGGGAAGGGTGGACTTGGGGGGAAGTGGGGATGGTTAATGGGTACAAAAAATAGAAAGAATAAATAACACCGACTATTCAATAGCACAACAGGGTGACTGTAGTCAATAATAATTTAATTGGGCATTTTAAAATAAAGAGTGTAATTGGATTGTTTGTAACTCAAAGGATAAATGCTTGAGGGGATGAATACCCCATTTTCCATGATGTGCTTATTACATATTGCATGCCTGTATCAAAACATTTCATGTACCCCATAAATATAAACACCAACTATGTAACCATAAAAAATAAAAACATTAAAAATTAAAAAAAAGATTTTTGTTCTCTCTTATGCTTTCCCAACTCTCTTTTGGGGTTTTATTATTTTCATAATTTTAAAAGTATGTAAAAACTACCGTGGGTTAAAAAATACATAATCTTTCAAGATACTTCTTTGTCAATAATAAGCATAACAGATTTTAAGCAGCATTACTTCCTCAAACAAATATTAATTTAGTACATTTTATTAGGTACATACAAGCTAAATTAAAAATTGTAAACAAGAGTAGAATAATGTTATAATGTTATTTAATTACATGCCCTAGTTTATTTTTATATATATTCCATGGATCAATTGTTTTCAAACTCCTCCTATGAACTCTATGATTCTGGGAGGCATCTTTGAGAAGGAAAGGAAATATGGTCAGGAGGACACATTTTCCCACTTCAGGGCTTGTCCTAACAATGCTCCAGGGTTAGGAGACTTGAGGGCATGAAATGCAATTCAAAAGTGTCTCACGACCTCATAAATTTAGAACACCACTATAATACATCTATTATTTCACATGACCACAAATGTATCTTATTAGTTTTAATGACAAACTCACTTGAGTTCTGGAAAGTTTTCAGATGATATCAAGCTCTGTAAGGCATGATTTCCTGTTAATTTTAAGTGAGTTAAACCATGTAACCCAGTTATAGGAAAAGACGACAGGAGGTTGGACGATAGGTCCCTGCAAAACATCAAACAACAATTGGCTTTTAGTCTATGTTAGCATAAAACGTTTATGTTAAAAAAAACAACAACCTAAAGATCGTTAAACTACTCAATAAAAACTTCTAAGCAGGGTCCTTACTCTTAATGGTAAAAGTAACCATTTTGGTTTAGCTCTTGATAACTTTTCTATTCACAATCAGGATTGTAGGGGAGAAAAGGTTTTAATTGTATTCAAATTGTTCTATATTCAGCTTCATTTTTTCAGGTGGGGACATCTAAAATCAAGGGGAAGGTGCTATATTTAATTTGAAAAGTGATGCTGACTAGATTAGGAGTGAGAGGTAAAAAGTGTAGGGGGTGTATTTACTCCCCTTCCTCTTCTCCTAACTTCTGTCTAACCAATTTCTTCTTTCTTTGTTAGATAAGAGATGGGGAGAGGAAGGAGCAAGAGGTGGGAAGTTGGCGTGGGGGGAAGGGACAGGAAGATTCTCTATCAGTCAAAATGGCATAAAATAAAATGGAAGCCCTTCAGACCTGAATTGACATCTTATTCCATTCCACCTGATTACAAAGCACAAATAAAAAACTTCAGCTGAATAATGAGAACCAGGTGTCACCCAAATCTTCAATTATCCACTTAATGGCCCATGTGGCCCTGGAGGAGCAGAACTCCTCCCTGGCTCTGACAAGCTCTAGGCATGGAGAACACAGAGGCAGGTAATCTGTGCATATCCAGCTTCTTCAACAAAACCAACTTTTAAAATTAACTAGATGGTCCTCAATTATTAAGAGACATACCATAAACAAGTTGTGGAATACTCACAGCTTTATTAGGGATGGCAAAGTGGAAAATGCATTGGGGTGAATAATAGCAATTTTGTTCCAAGCCAAATTCCTATTGTAAAAAAAGGCAAATGAGAGAATTATATAGAATAAAGAACATGTGAAGTTTTATCATATGCATTTAGTCTTCTACCAAAATTAATTTAATTTCCATTCAGATCAGAAACAATTAACTTATCAAACTGCCCTTCAGATTATCATATTAGTGGTATAAAATGACTAATGAGAGAACTTTAAATCAAGCTTGTTAAAACCAATCAAGGAAACATCGTTCAGGTGGATATTTTGGTTTTACTCTTGCTAAAAGGTTGACTTTAACATGGTTGTAAAATTTTATTAGGGCCTTTCTAAAATGAGTGGTTGTAGCACTGTGGGAAGGGACAGAAACTTCTGAGTCTCTTCTTCTGACAAGTAAGTGTTAAATTATAAAATGTCCTTGGATATGTAATGAAACTCAAAAAAATTTGGGCACATCACTCATATATGTTAGGCCTTGAAAGAAACACAAAGATGCTTTCAAGAAAATTTCCAGGAAGGATACTGACAAGTAAATTATTAGCCAGGATATGAATAAAATAGGGGCCAACATATGTTAGAAATAAAATTCTTTGATAGTAAAGAAAAAGTACAGTTTATGGGGAAATAAAATTCACTTCCCATGGACAAGTAATGAACTGCAGATAATTAAGTAGGAGTAAAGCATTTTGCAAAAACTTCTGTAGATAATTTATCAGGAATAAGAACTACATTTTTAAAAAGGAAGGATGAATTTAAGATTTTTAATTTTTGTAAATGACTAACAATGGTAACTAAGATGTAGGCATTTGAGAGAACTGAAAGTAAACAAAGTCAACTTTTCTTAAGTGTAGAAAAGTTTATGATATTGGGCTCCAGGGTTACCTTAATAAATGGTATTCACAGAATATTTACATTCTCATTTGAAAGGTTCCTTAGGGACCTGTCCTCCTTTCCTGGAGGAAACTGGAAGTCTTTTCCTTGATCCCAGAACAGAAGAAAATTGCAGCTAACAAGGGGAGGAAACGTATGGAAGGTAGAAAAGCTACAAATGGCGGCTGGGCTTTGGGTAATTGAGTGAGAAGACTGTCTTCTGTTGAGCTGCTCAAGAAATACGTGTCACTGAGGTGAGCAAGTAATACCATCTGTCAGAGTCTTTTTGGCAGCTTTAAGTAGATCATGGTGCCCTGGGAGAGCTTCACAGAGCAGAATATCTGGAATGTAGGCCAAGTCCTGCCATGGTGCTTAGAGTGATTTGGCTGGGGTTTAAGTAAATATGTGAGAATTTATATGTTCAAAGGCCTGTAATTCCTTTTCAATTCATGAGCCCGTGCGCTGGAATCCTCCCAGCAGCCCCAGAGGAGTCATTTTCTGCTTTGTGCCTGGGGCTGATCCTGCAGGCTGCATCCCCAGAGCTCCCTAATGGCCTCAGTTGTTTTCTCAGGAGAAGCCCCAGAAGGAAAGGGAGGTCAGGGCCCTCATGGTCTTCTCTTCCCTGTTTTGGAATCATGTCTTTCATGGCAGCTACAGACTTCTCAAGGGCTGCAACACTTCTCCATGCTTAAGCTCTTTCTTTGTCCTGGAAACATCATTTCCTCCCTGTGACTCTAGCCCCAGATGTTACTGGTTTCTGCACACCCATCCTTTGCTTGCTCCCTGCCAACACCTATGTAAGTGTCTTTTCATTTGAACCATCTTTTAAAAAAATTTAATTTAATTTTAAGTTCCAGGATACACGTGCAGGACATGCAGGTTTGTTACATAGGTAAACATGTGCCATGGTAGGTTTGCTGCACCTATCAACCCATCACCTAGGTATTAAGCCCTGCATGCATTAACTATTTATCCTGATGCTTTCCCTCCCCCTGCCACCCTGATAGGCCCTGGTGTGTGGTATCTCTCTCCCTGTGTCCATGTGTTCTTATTGTTCAGCTCCCACTTATAAGTGAGAACATGCAGTGTTTGGTTTTCTGTTCCTGTGTTAGTTTGCTGAGAATAATGGCTTCCAGCTCCACCCATGTGCCTGTAAAGGACATGATCTTATCCCTTCTTATGGCTGCGTAGTATTCCATGGTGTATATATACCACATTTTCTTTATCCAGTCTATCATTGGTGGGCATTTGGGTTGATTCCATGTCTTTGCTATTGTGAATAGTGCTGCAATGAACATATGTGTGCATGTATCTTTATAATAGAATGATACACACACACACACACACACACACACACACACACACATATATATTTTTTGAGATGGAGTCTCACTCTGTCGCCCAGGTTGGAGGGCGGTAGTGCGATCTCAGCTCACTGCAAACCCTGCCTCCCAGGTTCAAGCGATTCTCCTGCCTCAGCCTCCCGAGTAGCTGGGATTACAGGTGCCCACCACTATGCCCAGCTAATTTTTTTGTATTTTTAGTAGAGACAGGGTTTCACCATGTTGGCCACACTGATCTCGAACTCCTGACCTCAAGTGTTCTGCCCACTTCAGCCTCCCAAAGTGCTGGGATTACAGGTGTGAACCATCACACCCAACATTATGATTTACATTTTGGGGGGTATATACCCAGTAATAGAATTGCTGGGTCAAATGGTATTTCTGCATTTCAACCATCTTAAATGACTTCTGTTTCTTGCTAGAACCCTCAAAAGCTATATACTTATTTTCATAATAATAATAAGGTTGCATAGTTACAATGTGCCAGGTATAGTTATGAGGTTTTTGTTTGTTTGTTTTGTTTTGTTTTTTACAGGTTTTAGTCTCATAACCCTCACCACAACCCTAAGAGGTAGGTATTATCATTACCTTCATTATACTCATGAGGAAAAATAGAAACTGTGTGACAAGTCACTTGAGTAATAAATTACAGAGTAATCTCAGGCGCTGCAATTCAAACGCAGGCACACTGACTTCACAGTCCCTGATCTTGTGCTCAGAACATGTTTAAATTCTTAAGCAAATAATAAAAAAGCCACTGCACTAGACCCTGGGCTAGAAGTTTTACTGAAATTTTAATTTATGGGAACCTGAAAAAGTTCTTATTGTTTTCAGGTATGGCATAGTCTACCTGATGACAGTGCTAAGTATTAAGTTCTATAGTAGAAAATGTGCAAAGCGCATCTGAGTGAAGTGGGCCCAAAGATAGAAGATCTTGTTCTTGTGAAATGGGCAGGGGGACAAGTCATGGGTGGGGAGGAATCCTATAGGCAATGGGAATAGGAGAAACACTGGCTCGTGTGTCAGGGACCTGGAGTGTGCTGAGGAGAGATGACACTGTACCAGGAGGCTGGAATCAGATTTTGAAGAGTGTTGCTGGGAAGTTTGGTCTGATCTTGAAGACAACAGGGAAATAATTAGAAAGTTTTTGAAGCAGGGAAATAACATGATTAGATATTTATTTAAGAAAGAATAAGATGAATGGGTAGAGAGATGATAGAAGGACTGGTTGGGAGGATGATGGTGATCCAAACGAATCATTAATGGGCCTGCGGTAGAGGAGTGGAGAGGATGAATTGGAGTTGGCACAGTTTGGTGAGTGACTGAATGTGAGGTCACAGGGGAAGAAGGAATTCAGGGGGATTCAGACATTTATTCTTCAGAGTCTGTGTCACATTCTTTTGGTATCTATAGAGATCAGCCTTTTTTTTTTTTTTTTTTTTTTGAGACAGAGTCTTGCTCTGTCACTCAGGCTGGATGCAATGGCGTGATCTCGGCTCACTGCAACCTCCGCCTGCTGGGTTCAAGCAATTCTCCTGCCTCAGCCTCCTGAGTAGCTGGGACTACAGGCACATGCCACCATGCCCGGCTAATATTTTGTATTTTTAGTAGAGATGGGGTTTCACCATGTTGGCCAGGCTGGTCTCGAACTCCTGACCTCGTGATCCGCCTGCCTTTTAATATAGAACTGACTTGGGGCAGCCAGACATCAAACCGGGTGAATAAGACAGGTAAGTCTTATTCACTTACCTGAATAAGGGTTAGGGTTAGGAAAATAGTAACCCTTAGTAAAAGGAAAATAAAAGTATTTTCCTTTTACACTTTTTTTTTTTAAGTAAAAGCACTCCACAAGTAGATTTCAACCAAAAGTGAGAGAAGGGCAACACAACGAAATTCAGAACAAGATGTTATTCTGGTAAACTTTTGGGAGGAAATTATTAAGGTTATTAAGGTAAACTTTTGGGAGAAAGTGACTCTTAAAAGTAAATTTAAAGTCTTTTGAGGAATAGTATTATTTTACCAAAGGTATAGTCTCTTAAGTACAAAAAAAATACTTTAGATGTCAGCAAAAGAGAAAGGTTTTTAACAAACGTACTATAGTTTAAACATTACCTATCATCACCGTTCATCAAAATCATATTGAAATCCAGTTTCAGTATAGAAAAGTTTTAACTGTTATTTCATAAAACAATCTGCTAGTAAGTTTTTTAAAAAAATTTAATATATAACATTTCAATCATAAAATGGAATTAAATACAAGTATTTACAAATCTTAGTTGCCTGAGCAACAGAAGTGATTCTAGAACAGCTGTGTTCAAACCTTAGTGTACTTGTTAAAATGCAGATTCCCAGTCCCCACTCCAGAGATTCTAACTCATGAGGCAGATAAGGTTCTGGAGTCTGTATTTTTTAGTTTCCTCGAGGTGATTATTAAGCACTTTGAGACACACGTTGAAAAAAATGCTTAACCAGGAAAAAAAGCAGGCAGATAGAATTATGTGATCATCCCATTTTTGCATGTAAAATGTTTCTTGTCGATTCCAGGTTGTGGACAGAAAACACAGTAGGCTAGTCAACAGCTTAGCTTCCTTCCTCTTCATTAAAACTTCCTGCCTGCTGACTGGTAGAGAGCATAATTGCAAATTTACTACTTTTAGATTTATTCCTGGAAATTACCAGAAGCAAAATACTTGATGTTTCATAGCAAATATATGCACAAAAGTCCCACCACAATAGTACACAATGAAAAGAAAACATTAGGGGAAGGCCCCAAAGAGAAAGAAAATGCTCTGTGCTGGGGAACGCACTGGGAGGTGATACTCACAGCGATCGGAGGCTAAGCAACTGCTGGAAAGTGTCAACTTTAATTTCGTAGATTTCATTATGTCTTAGGTCACTGAAATGACAGGGTTCCAAAGATTGATTTCAAAGTTACTGGTTTCAAAGACTACAGACTTCAGATAACTTTTATAGAGGGACTACCTGCCCTTAATCAAAGGAACACATGAAGTGTATCTATCAAGTGACTGATTTTTGTTTGTTTAAAAAAGAACATTACCATTTACACACTCAAGTATTGTCTCTTTCAAAGGAGCTAGTTTGCTTGGGAGGACGTAAAACCATATTCCAAACATGCAATCATCATTCAAAACACTGGAGGACTCTTCTAGTGCTGCCTTCTGAGCCTCCCTTGGATTCTTTGAGGGTCTTCAGGAGGGTAAATTCTTTACCTTTTACAGATGGATTTGCTTTGTTTTTTTCCCTTAAGCACCCAAAGGCATTGAGAGAAAAACTAAATGTGAAGGGATAGATGGTGAATATTGTTTTGATCAAAACTGAAGTGTGACTATAAAACAACAAGTTTGGCCGGGCGCGGTGGCTCACGCCTGTAATCGCAGCACTTTGGGAGGCTGAGATGGGCAGGTCATGAGGTCAGGAGTTCGAGAGCAGCCTGGCCAACATGATGAAACCTCGTCTCTAGTAAAAATGCAAAAAATTAGCCAGGCATGGTGATGGGTGCCTGTAATCCCAGCTACTCGGGAGGCTGAGGCAGGAGAATTGCTTGAACCCACAAGGCAGAGGTGGCAGTGAGCCGAGATCACGCCATGCACTCCGGCCTGGGCGACAGAGCGAGACTCCATCTTGAGAAAAAAAAAAAAAAAGGCTGATGTTTTGTAGGGGAGGCAATGTTAAGAGAGGAATTCTAAAGAGTTTCATGCATAAGTACCATCTGTAGCACTTTAAATATGACAAATATGGCCTTCCCCTAAAGTTGACTATTGTGAAACAAACACACCAACAAACCCAAGTCCCCACATATTAAAAAATAACACCACTCATTGGATATGTAAGTTTGGTTGTACTTCTAAAATAAGAAAAATTTCAAAGCCCAAACACACCCAATTCACTAGTACCCTGAGTTAGGGGGAGAAAAAAGCGGATATATAATAAATGTTTTACTAATATGGTACAGTGCATGAAAAAATAATATTATCTATGTTTCTCAACTTTCTAAGCACACTGCACAGTCACACCTTGTGTGTGTAAGAAGGAAAAGGATCACATGTCTCCCCAGTGAACCACAGGGTAAATGAACCAGTGACCCTGAGAAATGTGAGTTTTGATTCTTGATTTTTGCTAGGTGACTTAGAGACTTCTAGACTTACATTTTCTGAAGCTTTTGGCAGACTGAAAAACTGGGTAAATCTTCTAATAGGTTGTAAGACAGATCTCTGAAAAACAGAAGGTGCAAAAAGGGAAAATCTGTTACAAATAAATCATAAAGAAACATGCTTTGCTCTCCTTTTCCCTCCAAGATGTTATATCTCCCAAAGGCAGACTCTGAACATTTTCATAGCCCTGACATGGAGCAGGTAGTCACAGCCATTATTGGATTAACCAGTAGATTCAAATGTTTACTGAAATGTAACTGTTATACTTCTTTAATTGATTTAAATAGTTTACTTAATGAATTCATTTATATTTTGTTAGTACTTCTCTAAATGCTCTAGCTATTATCTTACTGCAATGAGAACAAATTAAATTAAATAATTGTGCCTCTGTCTCTAAGAGCTGCTACATCTCTACAGCTCAGACAAATCATTGTTGTTTCTTTTCTAATCAACTCTTTAAAAAAACCTAACAATTCAAAACATAGCAGGAGCTTTGAAATCAATCACTACAAGAAGGAGGTGGGGGAACGGAATCTAAGAAAATCTTCAGCCAAAATTCAACAAATTACAGAATAACAAAAACATCTGGACATATTTATAGTATAATATAACTAATCTAAAGCAAGCCATCATAATTTGCGAAAGCTTGAAAGAAAAGAAAGTTGGTAGATAACGTAACATAGATATATAAGAACAATTTTGTTTCATGTTTTAAAAGTTATCAGCTAATCAACTAACACATTTTCATGCCTGATTCTAATTCTTAAAACCAGATCACCACTATGCAATGGGAAAAATCATACTTTTTCTAAGGGGCTTCAAATTAGTCTTATAATTGATCACTTTATCCTACATTTATTGAATAAATGGGATTTATAAAGGAATAAAGTCCATTTACTCCGCATAAATAGTACAAATGAAGCTGCTTGTAAATCCAAATTTGTAACTTTCTGAAGGTTTGAAAGATACCCCCCCACCCAATACCTCCAAAATCTCACACCTATGCACAAATATACCTGATTATTAATATGGTATGTATTTTTGAAAAATAGCGAATATAATAAAATGGACACACATATTATCAAAGCTGATAATTGGTTTACTCATCTCTGCAGGCTGCAAAGGGGATACTCCTTCATTGTCTACCTCTTAATAGAGGGAACAAAAGACCTTCTACATAAAGGCATAGTGTTGCCTTCTACCTAATGATTTTCAGGGCTAACACTGACCAAGCACTTTAAAAAAAATTATTTTATTTTTTTAAAATTCTGGGGTACATGTGCAGAATGTACAGGTTTGTTACGTAGGTAAACGTGTGCCATGGTGGTCTACTGCACCTATCAGCCCATCACCTAGGTATTAAGCCCCGGACGCATTAGCTTTTTTCCTTAATGCTTTCCCCTTCCCACCCTCCCCCGGCAAGGCCCAGTTAAGTGTGGTTTCTCTCCCTGTGTCCATGTGTTCTCATTGCTCAGCTCCCACTTGCAAGTGAGAACTTGCAATGTTTGGTTTCTGTTCCTGCATTAGTTTGCTGAGAATAATGACTTCCGGCTTCATCCATGTCCCTGCAAAGGACATGATCTGATTTCTTCTTATGGCTGCATAGTATTCCATGGTGTATATGTAGCACATTTTCTTTATCCAGTCTATCATTGGTGGGCATTTGGGTTGATTCCATGTCTTTGCTACTGTGAATAGTGCTTCAATGAACATACATGGGCATATATCTTTATAATACAATGATTTCTATTCCCTTGGGTATATACCCAGTTATGGGATTGCTGGGTCAAATGGTATTTCTGGTTCTAAATATTTAAGGAATTGCCATACTGTCTTCCACAATGGTTGAACTAATTTATATTCCCACCAACAGTGTAAAAGCATTCCTATTTCTCTGCAACCTTGCCAGCATTTGTTGTTTCTTGACTTTTTAATAATTGCCATTCTGACTGGTGTGAGATGGTATCTCATTGTGGTTTTGACTTGCATTTCTCTAATGATCAGTGATGTTGAACTATTTTTCATCTGTTTGTTGGCTGCATGTATGTCTTTTTTTTTGAGAAGTGTCTGTTCATATCCTTTGCCCACGTTTTAATGGGGTTGTTTTTTTCTTGTAAATTTGCTTAAGTTCCTTGTAGATTCTGGATATTAGCCCCTTGGCAGATGGATAGATTGCAAAAATTTTCTCCTATTCTGTAGGTTGTCTGTTCGCTCTGATGATAGTTTCATTTGCTGTGCAGAAGCTCTTTAGTTTAATTAGATCCCATTTGTCAATTTTTGCTTTTGTTGCAATTGCTTTAGGCGATTTCATCATAAAATCTTGGCCCATGCCTATGTCCTGAATGACATTGACTAGATTTTCTTCTAGGGTTTTTATATTTTAAGTTTTACATTTAAGTCTTAATCCATCTTGAGTTAATTTTTGTATAAGGTGTAAGGAAGGGATCCAGTTTCAATTTTCTGCATATGGCTAGCCAGTTCTCTCAGCACCATTTATTAAACAGGGAATCCTTTGCCCATTGCCAAGCACTTCTTATATAAAGGTACCATGTTTATAGCTTTACTTGAATTATCTGGTTTAATTCCTGTGGCTACCTTATGAGGGAGACACCATAATTCTACCCATACAATATGAAATGACTTGCCTAAGCTGACCAGCTAGTAAGTGGGGAAAGTTACACATAACCTACAGAATGGGCTAAATAATTCCCATGCACATGACGCAAAACTAGTCATGTACAGTGAAATTTCCTCATGTAACAAGTACTCAGTGGATGAGTTAGCCAAAGGGGAGAGCTCTCAGATCTATACCCCCAGGAGAACATAAAGCACCTTGTACTAGGGGTGAGGCTCTGGGGTTCTAGTCTCAACTTCAGCTAATTCTACTTGGTTGATACACTAGCTAAGCATTGGTATCTTTCTCAGTTCTCCTAAATGAGAAGACACCATTTTGCAGGGTCATTGGGAAGAACAAATGAATATTATAGGTGAAAATGCTTTGAAAATGGCAAGATCTACTATGAATGTTATGTGTATTCCTCCCGGCTTTTCAAGTTCCAACTCAAGGAAAGAATAATGGTTCCAGGGAAGTGAGAAAGATGATAAAAGTTAACACTGACTGAGAGTTACAGTGTCCCAGGTGCTGCTGTAACTGTTTGACATGTAGTCATTTAATCAGTCCTCATGAGAACCCTCTGAAGGAAGTGGCTACATCTCCTTTTATAGACTGGGAAACTGAGCTCCAGGAGGAATAATAATGTGCTCAAGATCCTGTGCTGGCATATAGAGAGCTTGGATTTGAACCAGAAAAGTTGGCTCCACAGCCTTTGCTTTTAAAGTCATTTTGCCAGTGAGCCTCCATTCATGCAGTTCTAGACCTGAGTGGTTACCACTCATTGTGTGACATAGCAGAGAGAGATGCAGTTTAAACACTGGTTCCTTACTTACTAGCTCCAGTATGTAAAATCCTAATCATATAACTGCGCCAGTTTTCTGGAGAAATGGGGATGATTATACCTGTTCTGGGTGTGGTAGGCAGAATTCTAACATGGCCCCCCAAATTTCTACCACCTGATATACACACACTTTCTCCCAGTTATTCAATCAAATTGATTGTATTTGAATTCAAACTCGCTTCTTTCTTGCTTTGTGATTTTAACAAATTAAATTCTCTAATACTGCTTTCTTATCTGTAGCTGCACTTCATGGGGTGGGATGGGGTAGGGCAAAGAAAGATTTGCTCTATACTCCCTTTCTTCAGATGTGAATCACTGACTCCAAGGCTACCATGTGGTGTCACTGCACCCACATATCATTGAGCAACTGGAGTCTGAAGTGACACGGCAGGCTGGGGCTGGGGAAAGGCAGAATCACAGAGGCAGCCATTCCCGTTTATCTACTTAACATTCTGAGTGCTGCTAAGTAAAGCTTATAGTGAAATTGCAGGCGCTCAATTGCCACAGGTGCCTTCTATGTGAGTGCAGAGCCATGGCAAAAGATTAAGAGTCCTTTTATTAAGTCCCAACATGCTTGAGAGGACAATGATTGTGTTGAGTGGAAGTTGAGGGAGAAGGCTGAAAAATGGAAGGTCAAAACAAGTCTCCTTGAATCCATGTAAACTACTTTTTTTCATAACACATGGGAAAGGCAGAGGAAAAAAGTCCCAAGTCAATAGAAATAACATATGCAAGCTGTTTAACCATTACAGGAAACATTAGAACATGGCATTGACAACTATACTGGAAGGATGTTTGATCACCTTTATCAAGGATTGTGTGGATCTGAGATCTCAGTTTTTGATTTTGGCATCCATATTGGGTGGTTGATCCATTATGTTATTTTGTTCTGCTCTGCAAAGCCTTTAGAGGGGGAAATAAAGTGATTTTGGCCTCTTCATATCTTTTCTGAAAGAAAACATGTGCCAACTGAAAGTCTAGTGGGAGCTTGTTTGGGACTTAGAAAACAAAGGGTACATTACCATTTGTTACCAGGATCATGTCAGAGAGCCTGGACCAAAGAGGGCAAAGGAGGCTTGACCTCCTGCAGACCTGAAAGGAAAAACTTTCTCCTCTTTTAAAGAGATTATTGAAATCATGTCTGCCATTTCACCCCTAAATGGAAGTTGCCTGTTTACACAACATTATTGCCTTACTGATACGCACAGCACTTGGAGATTAGGTAACTGATTGCAGACGGTTTGAGGAAGAGATGAGATCTGTGCTCCAGTTAAAGTCCTGTTAAAACACAAACCAGACATAATTCTTTCATTCAGGCATCACACAGTGACATATTTTGACTCACTGATGTTAAGACTGATCAAGCTCTAATGGCAGTGTATGTTCTGGGCAAAGTCAAGAGTCTACTCAGTACTTACAGACTCTCCAGGTTTGCAGTTCCAGTTAAATCAGGAAATTCAGTTATTTGTGAGGCACCATTCAGAGTCCTAGAAAGAGGAGTATATAAGTATTACTGGTAGAAGATTCTAGACAGGGGTAATTTTTATTGCCATTTTCAAAGCACTTCAACCTATAATATTCATTTGGTTTTTCACAGCAACCCTGTAGAGGGAAAGTGATCCATAAGAGACATAGAAACTTACAGTGTTCTTAGTTCAGGTAAATGTTGAAAAGCAGATCTCCCAACAAACTGGATGGGATTGTCATAGAAATGTCTAAAAGAAACCCAAACAGCAATTAATATCTTAGTATAAAATTTGAAAGATGAATATCTGTTCAAAATTTGAACAAATACAGTAAATGTACTTATGTAATTTTAATTATACTGTATTACATAACATTCCCAATTCCTTGGTTTCAGGCAAGCCTCAAAAGTGTTTTGACTCGCAGTATGAGATTTTTGGTAAGGAATCTGTACTATATAAAATTGAAGATTTCTGACAACAAGGGAGATATGAGTGATAGTTACTAAGGAGAAAAGCAAGTAAATTGAATACTTAACAGTTTCCTCTCCCTCCAACATCTGTAGAATATCCATTGAGTGGCAAAAAGGTAATTCAAAGTACTGGCAATCAGATCATTACTTAATGAAAGACGAAGTCTATCTATCGATATCAACTGAAGGTTATTATATCTGCTGGTCACCATAACATACACAAGAGACTCATCAGATTATTGGAGAGGAAATGAGCTATTCTGGCATATGTCTAAAATTAGAATTTTCTTGAATTAATTATTGTTTTAAAAGGTGAGACATTATTAGAGATTAAAAAATATTTTGTTTTACAGATGTTTTCAATGTAGTGGTATTTGAACTGCCTGGTCAATGGAGTGCCATATACTTTTTAGCTGAGTCATTCTTCTAGTCCAATTAAACTCAACAAATATTCACTAATGTCTACCACGTTTAAAGTATGAGGGTAGGTATGTGAGGATTTAAAGATTGATTCATTAAAAAGCTGTCATTGGGTAACTACTTTGGACTTGGCATTATACTAGATGCTGGGGGTTTGAAGAAGAATGATAAGATGTTCCTGTGGTAAAGGAGCCTGGATTCAGTTGGGATAAAGCAAATAAATAACAGCATATCACTTTCTACTTAACAAAGCTCTTGCATATATGTATGTGTTATATATATATATATATGTATATGTATATATGTCTATATATGAGCTATATATATATATATATATATAGCTCAATTGATCCATGCAACAACTTTATGAGATTCATAGTGTAGATACTATTTTCTTCACTTTTGGAAGAGAAAATTGAGGCTCAGACACCTTGGCAAGCTCATTACCTCCTAGAGCCTCAATTTTCTAATTTGTTAAGCTGAGATAATAATGCTTAGTGGTAGGGTTTGGATAAGAATTAAAAGAGCTAATGCATGTGTAACATTTGAAATAGAACCTGGGATACAGTTGCTACCCAACAAACCTAAATCCTCTTCTGTCCTACCCACTGAGCTCTTCTTTTCTCTTGGGATTAATCAGTAAGAGAAAGAGCTAGAGCTGGAATATGGGCCTTATGATGAAAAATGGAGCTTTCCTCTTAATATCTTATCAGCTCTTAGCTATACCATGTACTTTATGCATATAATTGTGTTCACATACATGTACGTATATATATATACACACGTATATATACACACATACGTATATATACACATACGTATGTATATATACACATATATGTATATATAGTGTGTGGGTATACATATATTTATATATGTATATATACAGTGTGTGCACATATATGTGTATATATACACAGTGTGTGTGTACATATATGTGTATCTATATACAGTGTGTGTACATATATGTATATATGTATATATGCAGTGTGTACATATATGTATATATGTATATATATACAGTGTGTGTACATATATGTATATATGTATATATACAGTGTGTGTACATATATGTATATATGTATATATACAGTGTGTGTACATATATGTATATATACACAGTGCGTGTGTACAGATACGTATATATGCATATATACACGGTGCGTGTGTACAGATACGTATATATGCATATATACACGGTGCGTGTGTACAGATACGTATATATGCATATATACACGGTGCGTGTGTACAGATACGTATATATGCATATATACACGGTGCGTGTGTACAGTTACGTATATATGCATATATACACGGTGCGTGTGTACAGATACGTATATATGCATATATACACGGTGCGTGTGTACAGATACGTATATATGCATATATACACGGTGCGTGTGTACAGATACGTATATATGCATATATACACGGTGCGTGTGTACAGATACGTATATATGCATATATACACGGTGCGTGTGTACAGATACGTATATATGCATATATACACGGTGCGTGTGTACAGATACGTATATATGCATATATACACGGTGCGTGTGTACAGATACGTATATATGCATATATACACGGTGCGTGTGTACAGATACGTATATATGCATATATACACGGTGCGTGTGTACAGATACGTATATATGCATATATACACGGTGCGTGTGTACAGATACGTATATATGCATATATACACGGTGCGTGTATACAGATACGTATATATGCATATATACACGGTGCGTGTGTACAGATACGTATATATGCATATATACACAGTGCGTGTGTACAGATACGTATATATGCATATATACACGGTGTGTGTGTACATATATATGTATATATGTATATGTATACACACAGTATATATATACACACTATATACACACACACACACACACACACACTGGGCAGGTATGAATATACATGCTTGTGTGCATAAGGCAGAAGTATCATAAACACACATAAGGAGTTTTAGGGTTCTCAGGAGGGAACTCTCTCATATGTTCGGGAGAGATTATAAAAAACTTCAAGAAATGGCTTTTAAAATGGGCCCTGAAAGAATTTCAAGAAGCATAGTGAGGGAATGGGATCGTAGGAGCAAAGGAAGTAAGAAAAGAGCTTTGTTCCGTGAACATAACTTAGTCAGTCTGGTTTATGAATTAGGGTGAATGAGGAGAGCTTTGGGGAACTGGTTGACAGGGTTGGCTTAGGCCATGTGTGGCCTTAGACTGTGAATGTCAGGATGAGGAGTTTGCATTTAGTGTAAATAGACATCCTGAACGCACATTTCACAGCAGAAGTAACAAGATGGTTGCCGTGCTTCAAGGAAGATGAGTGCTGCCAACGGTGAAGGGAGGGAGGCCAGCCTCACGCAGACTGGTGAAAATCTGGATGTCATGGTTGGCAGAGAGGCTGGTGCAGTGGAGGTCAGGAGGTATGGATAGGATGGGGACTACAGAGGTGGAAATGAGGAGTGGGTAGCCAACTGGACCTGGAAAGCATTCACAGAAATGCGGGCTTTGAAGAGATGGAAACAGATGCAGGAGCAAGGAGAGGAGAGTTTATGGGAGAAAGTGGTCACCACTGTCAAATAGTGGATAGGAGGTCTAATATATATAGAGTTGGGGTTGGCGCCGCTAGTTCCTCAGGGAGTATTAGCATATCAAAAGAGTGATGAAAAACCAGTACTGTGGCTGCAGAAGGAGGAGCAAAGGCAATGTAATTTGCCAACCTCTTAATACGCAAATACGCTCTAATGAGGGCTAATGTTTATTGTCAATGTACTTTAAAACTCTTAGTTTGCCAAAATATTGCCAGAACATTTCAGAAACAATGAATAGTTTTTTTCTTCTGGTTGTCAAGGCTAATTGGGACTCCTGCTCATTTGTGACAAATACCACATGGTCCCAGAAAGCCCGTCACTCCAGTTGGCACAGGACCAACATCTGCTGAGAAGTGCCCCTAGAGTCATGTTTAACAGTTGTCCTTACTCTCCTCCTCTATATTCAGGCTTCTCATTCACAACCTCAGGTTTGATGGTGTCCCAAATCTGCCTCCGAGAGGAGCCTTTTGTCTAAGAGCCAGCCTCATACTCAGAACTGTATATCATCATTCTACTGTATTAAATATGAAACATAAAATTAGTTATACTTTGTAGTTGTAACTCTATTTTATCCTTTTGTTGGAGACAGGGCTCTGTTGCCCATGATAGACTTCGGAGGCATGATCATAGTTCACTGTAACCTCCAACTCTTGAGCTCAAGTGATCCTCCTGCATTGGCCTCCCAAAGTGTTAGAATTACAGGCATGAGCCACAGTGCCTGGCCGATTTTATTCTTTTATGGCATATAAATCCTCATACACACCTTTCTAAAATGTTATTTATCATTCTAGAATTACATCCTAGTTTGTATAAATGTGAATGTTTGGGCATAATAATGAATGGAGATAGAGGCTTAGCACAAAACAGTATAAAACCCCTACCATCAATTTAGGCTGGAGTCTATTGCTGTAAAAGACATCCATTTGTATATAATAATTTATATTTCTAGTATACTCGGGTTTAAGTTCAGAATGACTATGCAGACTTGACATTAATGCTCTAAAAATCAGTTTTATTTCTTAGAAAATAGAGGTAATCAAAAGCATTTTACAAGATTATTTTAAAGATACCTAGCACATCTGGAGATACCAATCATAATGTGATCTTTAAAAAAATCTTTTATATTATTTCAGTGTTCAGCTAGAACCTGGCAAAATGCATGTGTATATACCTTTCTGTATGAACTCTTAGATTGACTAAGACAAAACTCAGGCAAATATAGAATATTCATTGTATTTCAAAGTATAATATATGCTATATTTCAGGATGGAGAAACCGAAAAGCATTATGGTCACTTACATTGTAATAAGAGAAGGGTTGCCTACAAATGCTTTCTCAGGTATCGACCTGATATTGTTGCTATGAAATCCTCTAGAAAGAGAAAAAAAATTATAAAAAATCCTGTGTGGGGTAAAATTATTTAATAGAGGCCCCCACCCTGACCACAGTGGCAATAATCAGAACCTTTAGTAACCAGAGGACAATATTAAATTCCTCTATGCATCTTGAAACTTAGGTGCCGTTATTTACTCTCTAGAGGATAAAAAAAGTCATGTGCTGTCATCTTAAAAGAGAAATAAAGAATCTGAAAATAATAACTGCACTTCATGGAAACTTACAATCTAATGTTATAAGAAGAAAATCTGTTAATATCCAATAGAGCATCATTGTATAAAAGCCTGAGAGAGTGGAAACCATTTTTGGAGAGATTATGATCACTCCTACTGACCCCATTTGAAGCTAGAAGAGAAAATTGACTTAAGCTGCAGTGAAGTAAAGATTTAAGTAGTCTCCTTATGAGGACAAAATTTTCTGACTTGAAGAAAGGTGCCCTGGCTCAGTGAATCTGTAGTTATAAGCTGATTGTCATCTGTTGTTGTTGATGTTGTCTGAATGGCTGAGAAGCAGGTTCAATGATCTTTGGAGCTTATTTGGGCCTGTGGCTGTATGAGGTGACCCCATGCCATGAAGCCACTGCCCAGCTAAGCCACACATGGGGTTTCCTAAGTCAGAACACCCTAAGGGTTTTTCTTATAAACAAGCTCCTCTGTGTCTCCTTTAGCTGTATGTCTTATTTCTCACTGCTAGGGGAATGAGGTTCAGTGTTTATTTTCCTTTCCAAGTGTTAGAACATTACTAACATAGATTATTTATCTTTTTAGATATGAAAAAGCTAATTAAATTTTATCATCTAAAAGGCAGTATATGCAAACCAATGGCTGAAAGTCAGCTTTTCTTTAGTAAAATTGTGGGGTTTTAGAATTAAATAAGATTCATTGAACATTTACAAATGAAATACAGCTGACCCTTGCACAAAATGGATTTAAACTGCCTGGATCCACTTTTCTTTGTTGTTGTTGAGACAGAATCTTGTTCTGTCTCCCAGGCTGGAGTGCAGTGGTGCAATCTCGGCTCACTGCAATCACCGCCCCTCTGGTTCAAAGCAATTCTCGTGCCTCAGCCTTCCAAGAAGCTGGGATTATAGGCATGTGCCACGAGGCCCAGCCAATTTTTGTATTTTTAGTAGAGACGGGGTTTCACCATGTTGGCCAGGCTGGTCTCGAACTCCTGGCCTCGAGTAATCTGCCTGCCTCGGCCTCCCAAAGCACGGGGATTACAGGCATGACCCATTGAGCTGGCCTGCATGGCTCCACTTATATGTGGGGTTTCTTCTGCCTTTGCCACCCCTGGGATAACGAGACAAACATCTCCTCTTCCTCTTCCTCCTCAGCCTCCTCAATGTGAAGATGACAGGGATGAAGACCTTTATGATGATATACTTCCACTTAATAAATAGTAAATATATTTTCTGTTTCTTAGAATTTTTTAAATAACATTTTCTTTTCTCTAGCTTACTTTATTATAAGAATATAGTTCAAAATACATATACAAAATATGTGTTAATAGACTGTTTATATTATTGATAAGGCTTCTGGCCAACATTAGACTATTAGTAGTTAAGTTTTTAAGAAGTCAAAAGTTATACATGGATTTTCTACTGTGCAAGGGTTGTTGTCCCTAACCCCTAGTTGTTCAAGGGTCAGCTGCAATGTATGTGAATGCATCTCATACTTTACTAGGCACAGACAGTTTGATTCATTTATTTCTAGACTTATGCAACCCAGAAATGTTCAAGTTCTCAGAAATGCTCAGCAATTAAATTCCATTTTAGTTCTACTACTAAAAATCTACAAATCTATAAAGTACATAAATGGTGGGAGAGTATGTATGGCTTAGAAAAAGAGAAAAGAATATGACTTACAGAAATATATGTTTTTTTAATATATATGTTAGAAAAACCCCGCATAAATAAAAAATATTATCTGGTATTTGCTAGAGATAGAATCAATTAAAATATATTTCAAGTGTACTTTATCATTATTTATATAAACTTAAAATTTTCTAGCAAGTCATATTATGTAAAACAATCACATGTATTTTTAAATAAATTCACAAAAGGATAAAGTTCTCCCATTAAAATTGTCCTAAATACTTACAGTTCTTTAAGGTTGGAGAGTGTCCTAATTGCAGTGGGGAATTCATCAAGGTTATTGTAATTTAAATCTCTGAAAATGAGTACATAGTATTTTCAGTTTTTTATTTAAAACTTCATATATACTCTATTTACAAGGAAAGTTAACATGCTATTCCAAGGAACCCATATGACTAATGGAAGTTCTCACTGCTTTTCTTTATGGAAAGAGATTTTCTTGGCTTGCTGACTACCAACATTCTATAAGTATCTGCGTTAAAATGGTCATTTGACTAATCATGAGAAATTTGAGAGTCAGGACTCAATGGCACTGGGGCGTCTAAAAAAGAAAGGGAGTGTGCAGGAGTATTAACTTCTAAGTAGGAGAGATGTCTCTTTGGCCAGGTGTTGACGGCTGGCGGATGGAGCTCTTCAACTGAACCGGGCTCACTAATTGGCCAGCGTGAATTTGCACTCCTCAGGGCTCCTGGATCACATCCCTTTTCTTGTTCCCTCCTTCACTCCCTTGTGACATGAAATCTTGCAGGGCTGCTTTGTCCTTGACTTTCACAGGGTTCCCACATCCCTCCTAGCCTGAAGTCCAGGATGAACCTTGCTTCTGGAGAGGTTTATGTGAGACAGGGTAATCTCAGAAAGGACATTTGGTCTAGAATTTCTTCAAGGAGTCACAAATAATTCAGAAATAGGATGTTTTCCTTGATCTGTGCAGCAAAGCTCTATGTTATCCCTCAAGGCCAGAGATGAAGTGGTCAAATTATCTCAAATCATTAGTTTCTGTATCTGTTATAGCACAATTGGCTTTTCAATTTCATTACTCACAAGTGCTTTACAGACTTACTCTACCTTATATCTAGATCTTCGTATGAAAAAGTAATTGCCTCCTGGTCTCTGGGAATGGCAGATTTCCCAGATGACGCAGAAAAACCTTTTCGTCAGGCAATCAGATGTGGTTAGATCCTCCTCTGTGGAGAATTGCTATTTAATTTAAAGAGAGAGATAATTTGACTGAGTTAAACATGAATCAAGGTTCCTACTTGTCTGGCACAAACCATCCTTAAGCTATACTGCAGGCAGGAAATGCATGTCTTTTGTAGACATAAATTTTCTTCCTGTTTGTAAATCTCTCCAGATGCTCTGTTTTGATTAAACAAGGATTGGACCCTTATAAATTACTTGGATTTCTAGTAGGGAAAGGAAGAGGCTGGGAATAACCAAATTGCTTATCC
Source organism: Homo sapiens (assembly GCF_000001405.40). Classification (NCBI taxonomy): domain Eukaryota; kingdom Metazoa; phylum Chordata; class Mammalia; order Primates; family Hominidae; genus Homo; species Homo sapiens. Next base: position 71,558,432 of record NC_000012.12, on the reverse strand, counting down.
TCTGTAGCCCTGGGCAAGGTAGAGGAAGGGGAGACAATAAGACTCACATGAACTTTTCCCTGACATGTTTTGCTCTATGTTATTTACATGCAATCCTGGGTCCTTACCCCAAACATTGAGGGGAAAAAAAAGACTATTTATGGAAATACCCATCAAAGCCCATCTTGTTTTTCATTCCTGTTATTGTTCAAAAGGGCTGGAAGGTGATTTCCATTGCTGAGATTTCTGAGCCCAGCGTTTTGTAGATAAGAGTTCTAATTTTTCCTAGCAGCTGATGGGAACTGCTTGTCTATGCCATTAAGTTGACATAAAGGTCCTCCCTGGACAAGTCCATCTTTGCCACGTAAGAAGAAACACAGGGTGACTTAACCCTGGAAAGAGCTGTTAGTGCTCATAGGCTAGAAGAATACCACCAACACAGGGTCCCTCAGGAAATTAGTAACCCAGATCTGGTTAGAAGCTGAATTGATCATGAACAAATTCCTAAGCTCTGTGTGCAAATGAACAGTGGGCCCCAAGGGCACAGGAGAAGTGGTCTTTGGTCTTTTCCTTTTGCAGTTCTGGTCAGAGCCAGCACTGCAGATTCAGTGACCTGTGTGGTTTATTGCATTTGAGCATTAAAAATGTGAGGGTAGGGATGGTGTCATGGCTGCAACTACCCTCCTCTCCCAGCACACTCAGGACCCTCCCTGCCTATCACCTCAGTCTCATCACACCTTTCTCAACAGGGCAATGAAGAGCAGCTCCTCCCCTGGGAAAAGCCTGGGGCCCTGGTGTGGCCCACAAGAACCTCTACCTTGGCTCTGTGAGAGTGTCTAGGATATGGTCCGCTGGCTTGACTCTATTTTTACTATAGGTACCAATTAAGAACTGAACTTTTGACTTATTCTTTGGAAGTAGTATGTAGTAGTAAACATGGATTTCAGAATCAGACTAGAGGAGAAAGCAAATCTCAGTTCTGCTACTGACTAGATATGTAATAACTTTACCTCACTAGAGCCTAAAATGGGATAGTAATATCTGCTCTCATAGGATGGCTGTAAGAAGTAATTAAAACAATGTATGCCAAATGCTCAGTGCAATATTTGATTATAGATATATTCAATAAATAGTAGCTACTATTACTTTTCACTCTTTTTTCTTTTTTTGAGACAAGGTCTTGCTCTGTCACCCAGGTTGGAGTGCAGTGGCATGGTCACAGCTCACTGCAGCCTCAAATTCCTGGGCTCAAGCGATCCTCCCGCATTGGCTTCCCAAGTGTTAGGATTACAGGCATGAGTCACCACGCCCAGTCCCTTTTTCATCTTTTGAATTGCTTTAGCATGAGCCATCACTGTTTCCTAAAGAGATGCCTGTTCATCTGAGATTGAAGACGCAGGCATTGGCCTGGCCTGCATCCTCTCATTCAGCAGGGAGTACCAGACTCATGAACAGTGAGCCTGAGTGATCCTTGACAGAGACTACACATTTCTAAGCAAATAGTCACTGCTTAGTAGAGAACATCTCATTTAATTTATAATGATTCTAACTAATTTATCACTCTCATTAGATTAAAATAAAATCCCAGTTTTATTGTTTAGCTCTGTGGGGGTTGTGTGTGTAAGATAATGCCACTGTAAATATCTGTTGAAAGCTTAGGCAATTAACCAAACCAAACAAAGTCTGGCTTTAAGGCTATTTTGATTCTTCAGAATATTCATGAAAATACTGAAAAAAGGGAAACAAATAAAAGGTCAACTCACAAAGTCTCTAGGCTGTGGAGCCCATCAAAGCATTTCTTTCCCAGGGAGTGGATTCTATTGTTATGGAGATGTCTGCAGTAGAACATTACAGATAGTTAGGAAGGCACACTGCACAGACCACACTTAACATTTTGATAGCTTAAATCCAAAGAAACATATACTGAAGAATGCACTACTTATAAGAAGCCAATGTAAAAAATGGCTATATGCTGCATTCACTCATACCACAGATGATTCTATACCACAGAATTTAAAAGACAGTCACAGTTTTTTACCTTTTAGCTTCAGGACATCAGGGTGTGTATAATAATATGAGGAACATAATTGATATAAGTAACTTTGGGTTTCAAGGCTGTTTTTTTTTTTAATTTTTAAGTTCAGGGGTGCATGTGCAGGTTTGTTATGTAGGTAAACTTGTGTCATGGGGGTCTATTGTAAAGATTATTTCATCACCCAGGTATTAAGCCTAGTACCCATTAGTTATTTTCCTGATCTTCTCCCTCCTCCCACCCTCCACCCTCTGAGAGGCCCCAGCGTGTGTTGTTCCCCTCTGTGTGTCCATGTGTGCTCCCATCATTTAACTCCCACTTCTAAGTGAGAACATTCAGTATTTGGTTTTCTGTTCCTGTGTTAGTTTGCTAAGGATAATGGCCTCCATCCATGTTCCTGCAAAGGACATGATCTTGTTCTTTTTTATGGCTGCATAGTATTCCATGGTGTATATGTACCATATTTTCTTTATCCAGTCTATCATTGATGGGCATTTCAGCTGATTCCACATCTTTGCTATTGTGAATAGGGCTGCAGTGAACATACACATGCATGTGTCTTTATAATAGAATGATTTCTATTCCTTTGGGTATATACCCAGTAATGGGATTGCTGGGTCAAATGGTAGTTCTGTCTTTAGGTCTTTGAGGAGTTGCCACACTGTATTCCACAATGGTTGAACTAATTTACATTCTCAAGGCATATTTGTAAGCATAGTTTGTTCAGCATGGCTTTGGGATATAGGATGTTAAGCAGAGATACTGACCATCATTGACACCTGGAGGATAGATGTAGCAAGCACATTTTCTAATAAAGATGAAGGCCTATAATGGCTACCTTCCCAGGGCGGGAGCACAGGTCAACAGGAAACAATGATTTCAGTCACAGGCAATGGTAATCAGATTTTTCTGCTGCCCAAGGAGATTAGTTATCTTGACACAGTATTAGTGTATATAATTATCATCTTTGGTTCAATTGGTAAGTCAGTTAGGTCAGAGCCAGTGAGAACAGCTGTGCACAACTGAAAACTGGACCAACTCTCAAAAGGATTTTAGAAAATGGGCTTAAGGAGGATAGGGTGAAAAAGTACAGCTGGATCTGTGTAAATCCATTTCCTCTAGTGGAGGAAAAGAAATTAAAGCACATACCCAGCTTCTGGTGGGTCAGTAGCATCATCTTTATATGTGAAATTCAGTGTAGAAATTTTTTAATATCACAAAAAATTCTTTTCCTTCCATACTAAGATTTTTTTTCTAATAAATAAATTTTGGTTTTAGGTGAGATTTATGTAATATTCATTGAGGATATTCTACATGCAGCATATAAGGAAGGAGATTGAGGGGAACCTAAAACAATAAATAAGATATTGGCCAGCCCTCAAAGGAGTATATACTACAGTGCAAGGGACAGACATGTCATCAAGTGGAATGATTGAAGAGAGCGGTGGGCCAGTGGGTGGGCATGAAGCAAAGAGAGAAATAGTGAGAAGAAGCCTTCCTCATTGATTGGTTATTATATTATACATGTGGGGGTCATACTGCTACATTTTTAAAGAAAACTGATTATTTTTCAAACTATTACTTGTTTGAGAATCATTTTGGATTTACTAAAATAATGAAATCTAGACATATGGTGGGAAAAAACTGTGCAAATGCATAACATGCTGTCAATTAAACCACTTCTGCAAAAATACAACAGTGAGAAAAATATGACAATGAAAGAGATCTGACCTAACCGACTCCATCTTGCCTTTAACCTCCAAGCTGCCCTTGTCTATTCCTGGGCATAGGCTGAACTAACTTTGGGAGGAATTTAGTTTATAGTTTATCTTTGAAACAAAATGATAACAGTCTTTTTCTGAAACAAACTCCCTCCTTGCCTTGGGACCAGGCTACCTTTGTAGAAGTAACAAATTAGCCACAGATTAGAAATTATGGTTTAGGAGTCAGGCAGCCAGAGGCCACAAGACTCCTAACCTCCCCAGTTGCTCCTATAGATAACATCGCTATTGTAAAACATAAGATTGGTGTTCAAGATATTTTTCAGACCGTGCATTCTGATAGATCAGCTGGAACCACCCAGATGGGTAAACTGGCCCATGTGGTCTTAAGGCCCTCATCCAGGACTGACTCAGAGCAAGAGGACAACTTCAATCCCTTATGATTTCATCCCTGACCCAACAAATCAGCATTCCCCATTCCCTAGCTCCCTGCTAGCCAAACTATCTTTAAAAAACTCTTGCCTCTGAATTTTCAGGGAGGCTGATTTGAGTAATAATAAAACTCTAGTCTTCCATTGAGCTGGCTGTATGTGTGCTAAACTATTTTTTCTTTTTTTTTGAGACAGAGTCTCACTCTCTTCCCCAGGGTGGAGTGCAGTGGCACAATCTTGGCTCACTGCAACCTGGGTTCAATTGATCCTCCGGCCTCAGCCTCCCTAGTAGCTGGGATTACAAGCATGTGCCACTACGCCCAGCTAATTTTTGTACTTTTAGTAGAGGTGGGGTTTCACCATGTTGACCAGGCTGGCCTCGAACTCCTGACCTCAAGTGATACACCCGCCTTGGCTTCGCAAAGTGCTGGGATTACAGGTATGAGCCACTGTGCCGGCCTTGTGTGTTACTCTTTATTGCAATTCTCTTGTCTTAATAAATTGGCTCTATTTGGGCAGTGGGCAAAAAGAACTCATTGAGCAGTTACATCATTTGTTCTCACTTCTCTTTCCTTGGTAAGGGTTCACAAAGTTCTTATTAGATAATAAGAAGAGCATCTTTCAATTTGACCTGAATTATCAATTATTTTTTAAAATAAGGAATGTTTAACTTAGGTTACTGTACTAACTGTACAGTGCGGTGACTCCTTGTGCAACATGCAAGGGGCTTCTCTAAGGCACAGGTCATATTTCATTATCTTTGTATGCCCTGCTGTGCTTGGCATCTAGCAGGTAATTGATAAGTATTGTTTAAGTCATTTACACAATTGGAGCATTTATAAGTCATTTTGGGGAGGGGCTCAGGAGGTTTTCCTCCCTTAAAATGTCCCCATTTGAGCTTTGAAGAGCCAGCATTTTAAGGCCAAGGTCTTCCAGTGACATTAGAAACTGTTAAAAGAGAGCAAAATCAATAAAACTTACAGAACTACCAAGCTGGAGAGGTTTCCAAAGGCATAGTCTGGTATGTGGTGTATTTTGTTCAGGGCCAAGGTCATGGCTTGCAATGCCGATAAACTTCTAAAAGCCTGGACGGGGATTTCTGTTAACGCATTGTCATCCAGCCACAGGTGCCTCAGGGAATGCAGGCCACTGAAACAGCTTGGGGGCACATAGCTGATGTGGTTAGCATCCAGACGCCTGTGGAAGAAAGAAAGCAAGAATGGAAAAGAGAGCAAAGCCCAAGCAGAAGGTCAACTTTGCAGGAAAACCCTCCCCATGCATGATGAACAAGAGTGGAACAGGGCCTGGGGTCCCCGAGAGCCCTGACATCTGGAGCATTTTCCTCTCCAGATGATCTCTCCTTCTCATTCATGTGTAGACTGTTGCTTCCTAGGTCCTCTGGCTCTAAAATTCCATGGTGCTATAATTCTCTTCCAGGCTTGTAGGTAATGTTCTCTCATGGATGGAAGTGGCCTCCCCTGAGGTATGGAGTTTCAGTGTGATGATCTTTTAGTTTCTTTCTGACACTAGCATAGAGATATCCTTTTCCTCCTCCCACCCTAAGCCAAAGGAATGTTTTTGCTTTCCCTGACTGTTTTGAACATACTAAACATACTAGTCTAATAAGCTGTTCAGTAAGCTCTGGGAAAAGATTATTTCATTTCAGTATTTGAAGGAACTGCGTAATTTTTTTTTTTTTTTTGAGACGAAGTCTCTCGCTCTTGTCGCCCAGGCTGGAGTGCAATGGCGCGATCTCGGCTCACTGCAACCTCCACCTCCCGGGTTCAAGCGATTTTCCTGCTTCAGCCTCTCGAGTAGCTGGGATTACAGGCGTCTGCCACCACACCTGGCTAATTTTTACATTTTTAGTAGAGACAGGGTTTCACCATGTTGGCCAGGTTGGTCTCGAACTCCTGACCTCATGCGATCTGCCCACCTCGGCCTCCCAAAGTACTGGGATTACAGGTGTGAGCCACCGCACCTGGCCGAGTAATTTTTTTTTAATTTTTAATTTTTTTATTTTACTTTAAGTTCTGGGATACACGTGCAGAACATGCAGGTTTGTTACATAGGTATACATGTGCCATGGTGGTTTGTTGCACCTATCAACACATCATCTAGGTTTTAAGCCCCACATGCATTAGGTATTTGTCCTAATGCTCTCCCTCCCCTTGCCCCCCACCTGCCGACAGGCCCCCATGTATGATGTTCCCCTCTCTGTGTCCACGTGTTCTCACTGGAACTGAGTACATTTTTAAAGACTGTTAGAGACATGCCTCAGGGAAAACAGAGAAGGGGCCCTATCCTTTTTCTTAGGACAACACTGAAAGGCCTGAAAACTGCTGGCTTTCTTGCTTATCCTAACCATTTGTATGAAGCAGATGTTTGTTTTTCTGACATTTTAAATGAATAATAAAATTAACAACTTTCCAGCTTTTGCTTCCTTTTCCCACACTCCATTTTTATCTGTTTTAAAATGGGGAAATACATCTAAAAATAAGTCTGGTTAATGAGCTGTTGCCACCTAAAAGCCAGCAGAGGGAGTGCAATACATTTATTTTGCCCCAGTCCAACATAAACAGTGGCTATAATTTAAAGGTCCTAACTTTTCGTATGGAAGTGACAAAACTCACATCGTTTGCAATGTTCTGTAAGATGCATGAATACTAGAACCAACATCACTCAAACTATGCTTCCAACAGCTCTCACTTGTTTTTTTTCCCAATCTGCTTTTAAGACGCACACATTTGCATTTTCAAAGGTAGGATTAAAAAAAAGAAGAGTTGTATTTTAGTGGTCCACGTATTAGGAAGGAGTAGAAAATCAGAAGTGGATTTTGAAAAATGTTTTTGGAAGCATTTAAGACTAAACAGATGCAGGAAGCACACCAGGATCACAAAATAATCTCCTGCAAACCAAAATTAAACAATTTAGAAATGAAATTCTTTGTTGGGAGGAAGCTCATTTCTATAGAAAGCAGCTTCCTCACTTTTGGCCACTATGCCACTTCAATCATCTTCTGATTCCTGCTTCTACAGACTGAATGGGAAGGAACAAGCGATGCCTCAAAGGCCCTCCTTGGGCCACATTTTGATAATAGCTGAGATAACGTCACTTGGAGCAAATTTTAAGAGTTGGGTGTCATACCCCATTTACGATTAAATTTCCAATAGAACAACTATCATTGTCAGCAACAGAAACACAGCTTTCAAACATCTTAAGGTTTTGTCAA